>NC_000003.12:196121566-196272565 GCF_000001405.40 Homo sapiens | reverse complement strand
GGGTGGATCACCTGAGGTCAGGAGTTCAAGACCAGCCTGGCCAACATGACAAAACCCTGTCTCTACTAAAAATACAAAAATTGGCTAGGCGCCATGGCTCACGCCTGTAATTTCAGCACTTTTGGAGGACGAGGCAGGTGGATCACGAGGTCAGGTGTTCGAGACCAGCCTGGCCAACATAGGGAAACCCTGTCTCTACTAAAAATACAAAAAATTAGCCAGGCGTGGTGGTGGGTGCCTGTAATCCCACCTACTCAGGAGGCTGAGGCAGGAGAATCGCTTGAACCTGGGAGGCGGAGGTTGTAGTGAGCCGAGATGGTGCCACTGCACTCTAGCCAGGGTGACGGAGTGAGACTCTTTCTCAAAAAAAAAAAAAAGGAAAGAAGGAGAAGGACATTTAAAAAATACATTATGCTGGTCCTAGCTATTCTGGAGGCTCAGATGGGAGGATTGCTTAAGCTCAGGAGTTTGAGGCTACAGTGTGCTATGATTATGGCTGTGAGAGCCGAGATCGTGCCACTGCACTCTAGCCAGGGTGACAGAGTGAGACTCTTTCTCAAAAAAAAAAAAAAGGAAAGAAGGAGAAGGACATTTAAAAAATACATTATGCTGGTCCTAGCTATTCTGGAGGCTCAGATGGGAGGATTGCTTAAGCTCAGGAGTTTGAGGCTACAGTGTGCTATGATTATGGCTGTGAGAGCCGAGATCGTGCCACTGCACTCTAGCCAGGGTGACAGAGTGAGACTCTTTCTCAAAAAAAAAAAAAAGGAAAGAAGGAGAAGGACATTTAAAAAATACATTATGCTGGTCCTAGCTATTCTGGAGGCTCAGATGGGAGGATTGCTTAAGCTCAGGAGTTTGAGGCTACAGTGTGCTATGATTATGGCTGTGAGAGCCGAGATCGTGCCACTGCACTCTAGCCAGGGTGACACAGTGAGACTCTTTCTCAAAAAAAAAAAAAGGAAAGAAGGAGAAGGACATTTAAAAAATACATTATGCTGGTCCTAGCTATTCTGGAGGCTCAGATGGGAGGATTGCTTAAGCTCAGGAGTTTGAGGCTACAGTGTGCTATGATTATGGCTGTGAGTAGCCACTGCGCTCCAGCCTGGACAACCTAGCAAGACCCCTAAAAAAATAAAAACAATAAAAAAGTAAATAAAAACCATTATGCTACTCCACAATTTTCATGCAAGTAACTCTGGTGAAGTGGTCACTGAAATCTATAGAACTTTTAGAGTTAAGAAATTCACTCAGTGATGTGGTTCATGCCTGTCATCCCAAGTCTTTGGGAGTTTGAGTTGGGAGGATCACTTGAGGCCAGGAATTCAAGACCAGCCTGGGCAACATAGCGAGGCCTGTCTCTTAAAAAAAAAAATAACTAGGTGTGGTGGCATGTGCCTGTAGTCCCAACTACTTGGGAGGCTGGGGCAAGAGGATCGCTTGAGCTAACGAGGTTGAAGCTGCAGTGAGGCAAGATCATACCACTGCACCCCAGCCTGGGCAACAGAGTGAGACCCCGTCTTAAAAAAAATTAGAGTTAAGAAATCCGTGTTTTGTTAATCCAGGACTTGGTGAGAGCCATCCGTTTACAAAAGGCTCTTTTCTCTACCTGCACCAGTCATACCTTCACATTGCCTTATACCTGTCATATCGATGATGCGGAGGATAGTGGGAGAGTCTGTGTAACTATCTTTCTCAGCCAAATTATTCCAATCTTTTGCATGCAATCAGGATTTAAAATGAGCAGTTAGTATGTAGGCTGCACTGTGAGGGGGAATGACTTCCGACTTCAGGCAATTCACTGTGGCCATTGTTGCACAGAGAGGCGTTTCAGTATTTCTACTAGAGCCTGTGTTTTGTGAAGCTTCGCTGGTTTTGCCAGATGCCATTGGCTCATCTTGGTGAAGTGCAGCTGTAGAATTGGTATTTTGCTGAGTGTATCCACGTCAACGTCTCTGAAATACTGGTGACAAACTTTTTCCCACCCCAATGAGAAAATTTTTGTTTTCACTTTCTATGACCAGTTAAAAGAAGATGGATGCACAGTGTTCAGCCAAGGTCAATGCAAGGAAGAGGAGAAAAGAGGCGCCCGGACCCAACGGGGCAACAGAAGAAGATGGGGTTCCTTCCAAAGTGCAGCGCTGTGCAGTGGTAAGTGGAGATTAACCTGGCAGGGGGAGGGTAGAAACCGATATGACATTGATGATATCAGTGTTACATGTCTTCTGAAATAATGAAAAGAAGGAATAGTAAGTGTATTTTCACAGTCACTGGAAATCTGCTGCCTTTTTACTGGATTATGACTCACAGCTCAGTTGTAGAAGCTTTACATTGGGTTTAGAAAAAGAAGTGTTAGGAAAATATGGAAGTTGCATGTGTATTAGGCTGAAACTATTGAAATATGGCCAGGTGCGGTGACTCATACCTGTAATCCCACACTTTGGGAGGCTGAGGTGGGAGGATCACCTGAGGTCAGGAGTTTGAGACCAGCCTGGTGAAACCCTGTCTTTACTAAAAATACAAAATTAGCCGGGCGTGGTGGCGCATGCCTGTAATCTCAGCTGCTTGGGAGGCTGAGGCATGAGAATTGCTTGAACTCGGGAGGCGGAGGATGCGGTGAGCCGAGATTGCACCATTGCATTCCAGCCTGGGCAACAGAGACAGACCCTATCTCAAAAATAAAAATAAAAAGTAAATAAACAAATAAATAAAACTAATGAAATAGAAAAATTGGGGCTCTAGGCAGTGATTTGATCTTCGTATCATCTCATGGTGTCTAGTGCGTCTTTTCTGCTGTTTTTTCTCCCTCTATCATTCCTCCATCCTGTTACTAGTTGTATCTTAGATGAGAACCTTTTTCCGTTTATGCCTACCTTATGCTCCTTTATCTCTGGAAAATTATCTTTGTATTTCCTAATTATTGCCAAACCTTAGATGAAAGACCCCATTCCACACTGCCTATCCCATCTCAGCTTGCTACCCTTCCTAAAGCTTTCCTCCACACTGCCTATCCTGTCTCAGCTTGCTACCCTTCCTAAAACTTTCCATAATAAAAACATGTCAGAGAACACTTACACACAATTGAAGCTACTGTTGTTAATATTATTATGAAATCTGTGTTTCAAAATCCCAGTGACAGAATTGTATGTTTCTTTACCTATATTGACTATTAGCCATTGATCAAACTCAGTTTCCACTGCTTAGTTCTAGAGCTTCCCAGCCCAAAGGGAAAAATCTATTCTGAAACAGTTAATACTTATTCCAAATGAATGCTCTGTCTTGAGCAATAAAAGCAAATAATACCCTACAAATAGACAAGTGCCTGCAGGGCTGATATTGATCATAAGGGCAAGTATATATATTTGTTTCCTGTTGCATTTGTAACAAATTACCATAATACAAATATACAAATGAATTATCTTACAGTTCTGGATATCAGAAATCTGAAATGGGTCTCAGAGGGCTAAAATCAGGGTGTTGGCAGAGCTGGAGGGTCCAGGGGAAAGTCCATCTTCTTGCCTTTTCCAGCTTCTAGAGGGTTCCCACATTGCTTAGTGCTTGGCACCAGCCAGTGCTCACATCACTCTGACGATTGCTTCTGCCATGTCTCCTGCTCTGATTCTGAACCTCCTACTTCCCCTTTTCACTTACAAGGACTCTTGTGATTACGTTCGGTATACCCAGATAAACCAGAATAATCTTCCTTTATTTAATCATATCTGCAAAGCCTCTTTACTATTTTTATTTTTATTTATTTTTATTTGTATTTTTGAGACAGAGTCTCGCTTTGTCACCCAGGCTGGAGTGCAGTGGTGCGGTCCCGGTTCACTGCAACGTCTGCCTCTTGGGTTCAAGTGATTTCCCTGCCTCAGCCTCCCAAGTGGCTGGGATTGCAGGTGCCCACCACCATGCCTGGCTTACTATTTTTATTTTTATTTTTATTTTTAGAGTAAGGGTCTTGCTATGTTGCCCAGGCTGGTCTTGAACTCCTGAGCTCAAGTAGTCTTCCTATCTCGGCCTCCCAGAGTGCTAGGATTACCAGGCGTGAGCCACTGTGCCTGGCCTGCAGAGTCTCTTTTGCCATGTATGGTAAAACAGTCACAGGCTCCAGGGAATGGGTGTGGCCATCTGCAGGGGGGCATTATTCTGCATACTACAGCAAATAAGCTCAGAAAGTGACTCAGCAATCAACAAAACAGGGCATTGTTAGTTTCTGAATATTTCTTAGATAATTCAGATTAAAGAAATGGTGGTGTGTACCAATTCAGCAACATCACTTGGAGTAGGAACAAGTTATAACCAAATAGGTGATACTGTCAGCTAATCAGCCAATCACTGTAGCTAGGAATAAAGCAAAGGAAGCCAGTCTTTTCAGTGGAATGAGCTCTGAGAAAACTTAAATTTCTTGGTCTTTAGACTCTGGGAATCTTTTTTTTTTTTAAATTCTTCTGGGGAGTCTTAATGCTTTAAATTACTTTGCTTCATATATTCATGTGAAATCAGTTCAGTGACTTGCTGCTACCTATTCCACATTCCTCCCTGAAACACACAGACTATTTGGCATAGGTGAATGGTCAGAGATCCACCCAACAGCCTGGCCCACCTTAGTGAGGAGGAATGTCTGCTAGTAAACTTTCTGCCATCTCACTGTACACCTGTACTTTCTAGCTCTGAATCTCCTTTGAACTCTATAACAAAAGCAAGCAAGACTTTTTTCTTTTTTTAACAGCTTTATTGAGTTATAATTGACATATCATTTACAGTATACAATTCAGTGGTTTTCAGTTTATTCACAGAGTTGTGCAACCATCACCATGACCAATTTTAGAATTTTTTTCTTTTTTTTTTTGAGACAGGGTCTTGGTCTGTTACCCAGGCTGCAGTGCAGTGGTGTGATCATAGTTCACTGCAGCCTCAACTTTCTGGGCTCAAACAGTCCTCTCACCTCAGCCTCCCAAGTAGCTGGGAATATAGGTGCACATCACCATGCTTGGCTAATTTTTAAATTTGTTTTTGTAGGGATGGGGTCTCACTATGTTACCCAGACTGGTCTCAGTCTCCTGGATCAAGCGATTCTCCTGCCTCAGCCTGCCACAGTGTGGGATTACAGGTGTGAGCCACCATGCCTGGCCTGGGATATTTTTATCACCCCAGAAAGAAGGCCTGTACTCATTAGCAGTCACTCCCCATTTCCCCCCAGTCTCTCCAGCCTCTGGAAGCCACTAATCTGCTTTCTGATTCTGTGGATTTGCCTGTTCTGGACATTCATACAAATGACATCATACGGTATGTGGTCTTTGGGGCTGGCTTCTTTCACTGAGCTTGTTTTGAAGATTCATTCGTACTGCAACATGTACAAGTACTTAATTTTTTTTTTTTTTTTTTTTGAGACTGAGTCTCGCTCTGTCGCCCAAGCTGGAGTGCAGTGGCGCAATCTCGGCTCACTGCAACCTCCGCCTCCTGGGTTCAAGTGATTCTCCTGTCTCACCCTCCCGGGTAGCTGGGATTACAGGCGCCAGCCACCACATCCGGCTGATTTTTTTTAATTTTTATTTTTGGTAGAGACGGGGTTTCACCATGTTAGCCAGGATGGTCTCGATCTCCTGACCTCAGGTAATCCGCCCGCCTCGGCCTCCCAAAGTACTGGGATTATAGGCGTGAGCCACCGTGCCCGGCAATTTTTTTTTTTGAGACAGAGTCTCACTCTGTTGCCCAGGCTGGAATGCAGCGGTGTGATCTCGGCCTCCCAGGTTCAAGTGATTCTCCTGCCTTAGCCTCCTGAGTAACTGGGACTACAGGCATGCGCCGCCACCACGCCTGGCTAATTTTTGTATTTTTAGTAGAGATGGGGTTTTACCATGTTGCTCAGGCTGGTTTCAAACTTCTGACCTCAAGTGATCCGCCCACCTCAACCTCCCGAAGTGCTGGGATTACAGGTGTGGGCCACCACGTCCGGCCAGTACTTCATTTTTTTTTTATTGACAAATAACATTCCATCATATATCACATACTACTTTTTAGTTATTCATTCTCCAGTTGACATTTGGGTTGAGTAAGCAAGATTTTCTTGCATTTTTATTTATTTATTTTTTTGAGATGGAGTCTTGCTCTGTCGCCCAGGCTGGAGTGCAGTGGCCTGATCTCGGCTCACTGCAAGCTCCGCCTCCTGGGTTCACGCCATTTTCCTGCCTCAGCCTCCCGAGTGGCTGGGACTACAGGCGCCCGCCACCAAGCCTGGCTAATTTTTTGTATTTTTTAGTAGAGACGGGGTTTCACCGTGTTAGCCAGGATGGTCTCGATCTCTTGACCTCGTGATCCGCCCGCCTCGACCTCCCAAAGTGCTGGGATTACAGGCGTGAGCTACTGCACCTGGCCTTTATTGCATATTTACAATGCGCTAGTATGGCAGTAGGTGGTAGACGTGTAAAGATAAACAAGACCTTCCTTTTATGAGATGTGAGCATAGAGTAGAATTCTATAGCCTAGAGCTCATTAGTTTATTTATTTTTTTTTAATGGGCACTTGCAGGCCAGGCACAGTGGCTCACGCCTGTCATCCCAGCACTTCGGGAGGCTGAGGTGGGCGGATCACCTGAGGTCAGGAGTTCGAGACCAGTCTGGCCAACATGACGAAACCTCGTCTCTACTAAAAATACAAAAATTAGCTGGGCGCAGTGGTGGGCGCCTGTAGTCCCAGCTACTCAGGAGGCTGAAGCAGGAGAATGGCGTGAACCCAGGAGGCGGAGTTTGCAAGTGAGCTGAGATCGCGCCACTGCACTCCAGCTTGGGCGACAGAGCGAGACTCCGTCTCAAAAAAGAAAAAAAAAGGGTAGGGGGACTTGCTCTGTTGCCCTGGGCTCAAGCTATCCGCCCACCTCTGCCTCCCTAAGTGCTGAGATGACAGGCGTGAGCCACCACACCCGGTGGAGCTCATTAGCTTTAGAAAAAGTACTTTCCTTGCATGTAAAGAAAGGAATAGGAAGGATCACCAAGTAGTAGATACCTGGGTTGGTGGGTCAGGATGAAATGGATAGAAAAGAGACAAAGGAGTTAAGAAGGAAAAACTAGGAAAAACTTTATGGCTATTTTGTCGATAAGTATAAATCATTTATTGATACAGATGTTTCTAAAGGTTCAATCAAAAGGATCACAAAAGTATTTACAAAACATAAGACGTTTAGCTTATCTTAATATATATCAGGCTGGGCGCAAGTGGCTCACGCCTGTAATCTTAGCACTTTGGGAGGCCGAGAAGGGCAGATCACGAGGTCAGGAGTTTGAGACCAGCCTGGCCAACATGGCGAAACCCCGTTTCTACTAAAAATACAAAAAAAAATTAGCTGGGCATGGTGATGTGCGCCTGTAATCCCAGCTACTCAGGAGACTGAGGCAGGAGAATGGCTTGAACCCAGGAGGCAGAGGTTGCAGTGAGCTGAGATCACACCACTGCACTCCAGCCTGGGCAACAAAGCGAGACTCTGTCTCAAAAAAAATAAATAAATAAATAAAATAAAAATAATAATAAATAAAATAAAATAACTTACAAAGAATATCATATGTATGAATGAGTCATGAAGTATCTAAACTGTGGGGGAAATTGGCCATAGTTCTGCTTATGGCAAAGTAGGCCTCACAATCTCATTTCAACCAAAATGTTTCGAGAACCTCTACTTGCCAGTTGCATTGGAGATGCAAGGATGAAAAGATGACCTTGCCCTTGGAAAACTCACAGACAAAAAAGAGAAAGAAACAGCAGCAAATAATTATGATACAGTATGAAATTATGATACGTATGAAAAGTGCCAAATAGACGGAAGTTACAAAGTCAATCTCTTGAGAAAAAAGGAGTAGGAAGGATACCAGGTATTAGATGCCTGGGTTGGTGGGTCAGGATGGCCATAGTTCTGCTTATGGCTAAGTATAGGCCTCCCAATCTCATTTCAACCAAAATAATCTTGAGAAGCAAGAGACTGACTTTGACCAAGAGGTAGGGGCAGTGGTTTGGGAAAAGCGTCATCAAAAGGGTTATTTCTGAGCTGAACTTTGAAGGATACAAGGAATTCAAGAAATGAACAAGAGATGGGGTACAAGTTCAGAATCATGAAGTAGGGCTTAAACTATGACATTAGGTACAGAGAGTGCGAGATAAACTTTGCACATTTCTAGAAGGTAAAATCGGCTGGGCATGGTGGCTTCACGCCTGTAATCGCAGCCCTTCAGGAGGCCAAGGTGGGAGGATCCCTTGAGCCCAGGAGTTTGAGAGCAGCCTGGGCAATATAGGGAGACCCTGTCTCTATTTTAAATTAAAATTGTAATTTTTAAAAAAGATGTAAAATGGACAGTTCTTGGAGATTACTGAGATATGAAGGACAAAAGGTGTTAAGAGTGACTCCTAGGTTTCAGTCTTAGGTACGTTGTGTAGATGGGGTACTTCCCATTGAGATAAGAAATACCAGGAGGAAAAGCAGGTTTAGGAGGAAGACAAAGAGTTTAACTTAGTACAGGTTCAATTTAGAGGGCCTATAAGACATCCAAATAGTAATTGGACAGATGAGCTCATTGTTTACATTCACTGAAATGGCAATAGGAGTCAGGGAGAATGATTGCTTTTCTTTCATTTTTAAAACCAGATCCTGGCTGGGCGCAGTGGCTCATGCCCGTAATCCCAACACTTTGGGAGGCCGAGGAGGGTGGATCACGAGGTCAAGTGATCGAGACCATCCTGGCCAACATGGTGAAACCCCGTCTCTACTAAAAGTCACAAAAATTAGCCGGGCGTGGTGGTGGGTGCCTGTAGTCCCAGCTACTCCGGAGGCTGAGGCAGGAGAATTGCTTGAACCCTGGAGGTGGAGCTTGCAGTGAGCCGAGATCGCGCCACTGTACTCCAGCCTGGCGACAGAGCAAGACTCTGTCTCAAAACAAAACAAAACAAAAAAACAGATCCCCGGGGGGTGGAATCTTTCAGCTCTGTTCTTTGTCCCTTCTTTCTCATACCACATGGTATTCCTCTTGACTCTGTAGCGTTTCCCGTGGCATTATTGAAAGAATTGGGCCAAGCACAGTGGCTCATGCCTAAAATCCAAGCGCCTTGGGAGGTGGAAGGATCCCTTGAGGCCAGGAATTTGAGACCAGCCTGGGCAATGCATTATAGAGAGACACTGTCCCTACAAAAAAAATGGAAAAATTAACTGGATATGGTGATGTGCCCCTGTGGTCCTAGCTGCTCAGGAAGATGAGGCAGGAGGATCTCTTGAGCTTAGGAAGTCAAGGTTATAGTGAGGTATGGATCGCACTGCTGCATTCCAACCTGGGCAACAGTGAGACCCTGTCTCTTAAAAAATAAAAAAAATAGAAACAATTGGGATCTCGGGAGGACCCTTTATCATTAATACAGAATGTTTGGGTGAAAGGGAAATAAATGTTTTTCTGTGGCATTCAGAAACTTTTTGCTGAAAAATATTTAAGAATCCTTAGAGTTGGATGCGGTGGCTCACGCCTGTAATCCCAGCACTTTGGGAGGCCGAGGCGGGTGGATCATGAGGTCGGGAGTTCAAAACCAGCCTGGCCAACATCGCGAAACCCTGTCTCTACTAAAACTAAAAAAATTAAGCAGGCGCAGTGGTGGGTGCCTGTAATCCCAGCTACTCGGGAGGCTGAGGCAGGAGAATCGCTTGATCCTGGGCGGCAGAGGTTGCAGTGAGCTGAGATCGCGCCACTGCACTCTAGCCTGGGCGACAGGGTGAGACTGTCTCACAAAAAAAAGCCAAAAAAAAAAAAAAAGAATCCTTAGAAAGTAAAAAGTGTACTGGGAAGACAATATCAAGTTCTAGTCTATATTATTTGAATTATGTCCATTTTCCTGTTAGTGTGGATGCCAGAATCTCTTGTTTTCACTGAAATTTTAAGGAATAGTGAAATAATGTGTGTGAATATAGTCTGGAAAAAGTTGTTATGGAAGCAATATTGCATTCAGAGACAATTCATAATTTGGGGACTGTTGATTTCCATTATAACTTTTAGATGCATGCATTTGGAAAGTTTATATAGCATTTTAGAAGCTAACCTCTTAGATTAATAGGAGTTAATTTTGTTAGCATGCTGAAATCTGTGTTCTATAGAATACAAGAGGAAATGAGCTAACGACAAATTCGTCGAGTGCCTACTTTTGTGAAACATTATGCTAATTACTTTGCGGATGCTACTTTGTTTAATCCTCATAGTAAACTTGTAGGGCAGGTATTGTTGTTTTCTATTTTGTAGAAGATGAAATGAAAGCTTTAGAAACTTGCTGTGATTTCACAGGTATTAAATGATAGAGTTGGGATTTAGATCTAAATTTTCCAAGTCCTAACCCCATGTTCTTTCATTTATACCTCACTACCAGATAGTCTTAAGACTTGAAAGCGATACTGTGGCATTCCCTTGAGGTTAAAATGAAGGAGATGTGTTTTAGGAGAACACAGAAATATTTAGTCCTACTTTTATAAACCTCAGCTTCTAGAGACACTGTTCTTTGAGAATAACACAGTGTTTTAAAAAAATACTACCTTTTCTAGCTGGAAACAACTCTAGAAAAAAAGATTTTGCTGCTTTGTTATAGCTGCACAACGTTAGGTTTCACTCCCTATACTTAGGAGAAACGGATTCAGCCTAAACCCCAGCCAGGAAGGACAGCTGTATTTGTCTTCTACCTGGAAATATACACAGTATGTGAGAAAGACTGAAGAAACAGTTGTGAAAGATAAGATACTTAAAATATCTCTTTTTTTTTTTTTTTGAGATGGAGTTTTGCTCCACTGCCCAGGCTGGAGTGCAGTGGCGTGATCTCGGCTCACTGCAACCTCCGCATCCCGAGTTCAAGCAATTCTCCTGCCTCAGCCTCCCGAGTAGCTGGGATTGCAGGCATGCACCACCCCACCTGGCTAAGTTTTGTATTTTTAGTAGAGATGGGATTTTACCATGCTGGCCAGGCTGGTCTCGAACTCCCGACCTAAGGTGGTCTACCCGCCTCGGCCTCCCAAAGTGCTGGTATTACAGGCGCCCACCACTGCGCCTGGCTAATTTTTGTATTTTTAGTAGTGACGGGGTTTCACCGTGTTAGTCAGGATGGTCTCGAACTCCTGACCTCATGATCTGCCTGCCTCGGCCTCCCAGTGCTGGGATTACAGGTGTGAGCCACCACACCTGGCCAATGTATCTTTTAAAATTTGGGTAAAATTCACATAACATAAAATTCACTATTTTAACCATTTTAAAGTATATAAGTCAGTAGTTTATAGTCTAGTCATACTGTTGTACAACCATCACAACCATCTAATTCCAGAACATTTCATCACCACAAAAAGAAACCCCCTGTATTCATTAGCAGTCACTCCCTATTACCCCTCCAGCTACCTCCTGGCAACCACTAATCTGCTTTCTGTCTCTACAGCTTTGCCTAGTCTGAACATCTAATGTAAATGAAATCATACAACTTGTGGACTTTTGTGTCCGACTTCCTTTTTTGGCATAATGTTTTCAAGATCCATCCAAGTGGTAGCATGTATCAGTACTTTATTCCTTTTTATGGGTAAATAATATTCCATTGTGTGGACATACCATTTGTTTATCCATTCATTGATGGACATTTGGGTTGTTTCTACTTTTTGGCTATTACGAGTAATGCAAGTGTGAACATTTTTCATGTATAAGTTTTTTGTTTTTGTTTTTGTTTTGTTTTGTTTTTTTGAGGCAGAGTCTTTCTCTATCTCCCAGACGAGTACGGTAGCACAATCTCAGCTCACTGCAACCTCCACCTCCTGGGTTCAAGTGATTCTTCTGCCTCAGCCTCCCAAGTAGCTGGGATTGCAGGCATGCACCACGCCACCTGGCTAAGTTTTGTATTTTTAGTAGAGATGGGATTTTACCATGCTGGCCAGGCTGGTCTCGAACTCCCGACCTAGGTGGTCTACCCGCCTCGGCCTCCCAAAGTGCTGGGATTACAGGCGTGAGTTACCGTGCCTGACATAGTTGTTTTTTTCTTAATATATGTTTTCAGTTATCTTGGGTATATACCTAGCAGTATAATTTCTGGGTCATATGGTAATTCTATGTTTAACATTTTGAAGAACTGTTTTCCAAAGCTGCACATTATTTTATATTCACAGTAGCAATGTATGATGGTTCTAACTTCTTCACATCCTTACCAAGACTGTTTGTTATTGCCTGTCTTTTTGCTCATAGCCATCCTGGTTGATATGAAGTAGTATTTCCTTGTGTTTTTGATTAATATCTAGGTCCTTGGTTCTATTTTTAAAAGTATTTCAAAGAAGAATAACACATACACATCTAAAAATGAATGTCTTGGCTGGGCATGGTGGCTCAAGCCTGTAATTCCAGCACTTTAGGAGGCCGAAGCGGGTGGATCACTTGAGGCCAGGAGTTCAAGACCAGCCTGGCCGACATGGTGAAACCCTGTCTCTACTAAAAATCCAAAAATCAGCCAGGTGTGGTGGTGCATGCCTGCAATCCCAGCTAGTTGGGAGGCTGAGGCATGAGAATCGCTTGAACCTGAGAGGTGGAGGTTGCAGTGAGCTGAGTTCACACCACTGCACTCCAGCCTGGGCGACAGAGCAAGACTTTGCCTCAAAAAAAAAAAAAAAAAAAAAAAAAAAAAGAATGTTTCCATTTATATCATTAAGTATATCTTAAACTAAACTTATATAAGTGATTTTTTTTTTTTTGAGACAGGGTCTTGCTCTGTTGCCCAGGCTGGAGTGCAGTGGGGCAATCTCAGCTCACTGTAACCCCTGCCTCCCTGGCTCAAGCAGTCCTCCCACCTCAGCTTCCCAAGTAACTGGGACTACAGGCATGTGTCACCACGCCCAGCTAATGTTTGTATTTTTTTGTAGAGACAGGGTTTCGTCATGTTGCCCAGGCTGGTCTTGAACTCCTGGGCTCAAGCAATCCACCAGCCTGGGCCTCCCAAAGTGCTGGGATTACAGGCATGAGCTACTGCACCTGGCCAAAACAAAACAAAACAAACAAACAAACAAAAAAAACGTGTTTTAATGTTAAAACAATTTTGAAAATCTACACTTACCTGAAAACAAAACAGTATCTTCCCAGTCTCTGGATTCAGCCCAATCATGATACGATCTTTTTAGAACGGAACATCACTGCAGCCATACAGAAATTAGAAGGATTATAAGGGAGCAATTTCATGCCAAAAATTTGACAATTTAAATGTAATAGACAATTTCCTAGAAAGAGACAAGTTGCAAAAACTAACCAAGACAAAGGAGAAAATCTTAATAGACTTATATCAAGTTAAAAAAGAAAAAAAAGGAATTAGTCATTAAAAATCTTCTCACAAAGACAGGTCCAGGCCCAAAGTTAAAAAATTAGCTGGGTGTGGTGGTGCATGCCTGTAGTCCCAGCTATTAGGGAAGCTGAGGTGAGAGAATTGCTTGAGCCCCAGAGTTGGAGGCTGCAGAGAGCTATGATCGTGCCGCTGCACTCTAGCCTCGGTGACAGAGTGTCTTTACAAAAACCACAAAAACATTTAAGGAATAAATAATACGAATCTTACACAAAAATAAGGTAAAGAGAACACTTCACAACTTATTTTGTGAGGCCAGATATCAAAGCCAGACATAAACATCACAAGAAACAAACTATAGTTAAAAATCCCAGGCCAGAGGCTGGGCACGGTGGCTCACGCCTGTAATCCCAGCACTTTGGGAGGCCAAGGTGGAATGATTGCTTGAGGCCAGGAGTTTGAGACCAGCCTAGGCACGTAGTGAGACCTTGTCTCTACAAGAATAAAAAATCAGCTGGGTGTCGGGTAGTGTATGCCTGTAGTCCCAGCTACTCGGGAGGCTGAGGTGGGAGGATCACTTGAGTCGGGGAGTTGGAGGTTGCAGTGAGCTGAAATGGCGCCAGTGCACTCCAGCCTGGGCAACAGAGCTGGACCCTCTCAAAAAAAAAAAAAAATCCAGATTGGAAAAGAATAAGCAAAACTATATTCACAGATGACATGATATTATATGTAGAAAATGCTAAGGAATCCATGAAACAACAACGGATACTAGAACTGATAATTAACTTTAGCAAAGTTATAGGACATAAGATCAATATACAGAAAATTTCAGTTACACAAACACAAATACAAATCAATTGCACTGTTACATAATATCAAGGAACAATCCAAAAATAAAATTCAGAAAACAATTCCATTCACAACAGCATCAAGTAGAATAAAATACATAGGAATAACAAAAACTCTTTTTTTTTTTTTTTTGAGGTGGAGTCTTGCCCTGTGGGCTAGGCTGGAGTGCAATGGTCTGATCTTGGCTCACTGCAACCTCTGCCTCCCGGGTTCAAGCGATTCTCCTGCCTCAGCCTCCTGAGTAGCTGGGATTACAGGTGCCTGCCACCACACCAGGCTAATTTTCTGTATCTTTAGTAGAGACCTGGTTTCACCATGTTAGCCAGGATTGTCTCAATCTCCTGACCTCATGATCCACCCACCTCGGCCTCCCAAAGTGCTGGGATTACAGGCGGGAATAACGAAATCTCTTAAACGAAGCCATCTATAATAGAGAGATCAATCTCCTTTCTCTCATCTTTTTTTTTTTTAGTATTACAGTGTATGCCATTGAGTTGAACTTTCTTTTCCTTCACTTTCCATTTCTTAAGGGCTTACGGCAACCAGCTCCTTTTTCTGATGAAATTGAAGTTGACTTTAGTAAGCCCTATGTCAGGGTAACTATGGAAGAAGCCAGCAGAGGAACTCCTTGTAAGTAAATACCTTCTTAATTTGTTGTTTGACTATTGTTTTTAGCATTCCATTGTCTTTATCAAATACACACCTGCTCTCTATATACTGCCCTCTGTTTACTTGCAAAGGCCAGCAGCGAAGGGGTTCTTCTCACCTGTCTTGATGTTCTATTTAGAAGGGTAACTCCACTCCATAAACTTTCATTTTTTTTCTTATTATTATGCACCTGTTTCCTGGGCTGCTGTTGTAGCTGTGAGATACAGTAAAACAGAAACAATATGATATTATATTAGCTTGAGCTGAGTTATGATCTTATCTATTTCTATAAAGTCCAAATCATGTGTCAGGGTGTCACATTCTTCATAGCCTTCAGAATTCCCCACCACCTCTCTACGTTCTGTCAGCTGGCTATGATGCTGCCGATTGATAGAGGACAAAAATATCCCAAGTTGGGAGATGCTCGTCACTTAATTTTATTTTTACTGATATTATAATTTTCCAGGTTTTAAAAAATACTTTATTTTCAAAGCCCTTGCTCTTTATTTGCATGCTTAATTTACATAATTAATTAGCAGTTTTTGACACATAAATTACTAATATATATTCGAGATGCTTTTCTTATGTGGGGCAATTGGTTTTAGAGATCATTATAAAAAGAAACTTCCAAGAGCATTTGTTATGAATACAAAGTCCTATAGGCAAATATTCTTTCTTCTCTGTAAATTCCCCAATTCTCCCTTTTTTTCCAATCCTTTTTCACTTCTTCTGATTACTAAGTGTTCTCTCTACCCTGTAAATATAGGACTGAACTAAGACTCAGACAGACACCAGGGAATAAGAGGGATTTATAGCCACAAATCTGTGCATTTGCAGCATATACAGTATATTTGTGGTTACTTCTTAATTGTGTTGGTATGTTTGCTCTCTGTAGTAACTGAAGAACAGTGAAATACAAATAGAAGTGGGCCAGGAGTGGTGGCTCACACCTGTAATCCCAGCACTTTGGACACCAAGGCGGGCAGATCATCACTTGATGTCAGGAGTTCGAGACCAGCCTGGTTAACATGGTGAAACCCCTTCTCTACTAAAAATACAAAAGTTAGCTGGGCGTGGTGGTGGGCACCTGTAGTCCCAGCTACTCGGGAGGCTAAGGCACGAGAATTATGTGAACCTGGGAGGCAGAGATTGCAGTGAGCTGAGATCATGCCACTGTACTCCAGCCTGGGTGACAGAGCGAGACCCTGTCTCAAAACAAACAAACAAAAAACAAATAGAAGTGATGTACAGTGTCATACTGGGAAATTTTTTTTTCTTTTGAGGCAGAGTCTCACTCTGTTGCCCAGGCTGGCATGCAGTGGCACAATCTTGGCTCAGTGCAACCTCCTCCTCCCGGGTTCAAGCAATTCTTCTGCCCCAGCCTCCCGAGTAGCTGGGATTACAGGTGTGCACCACCACGCCTGGCTAATTTTTGTATTTTTAGTAGAGACGGGGTTTCACCATGTTGGCCAGGCTGGCCTCGAACTCCTGACCTCGTGATCCACCCACCTCAGCCTCCCAAAGTGCTGGGATTGCAGGCGTGAGCCACCGCGCCGGCCAATGCCGGGAATTTTAACACCTATCCTTTGGCCTTATCTTGGGTATATGTATTGTGGGTTTGGGGTCCTCAACAAAAAAGAGGCTAATTCCAGAGAATCCTTTCCTTTTGAAAAAATGTGTAGATATAGTTCATATTGATCACAACCTTCTGATTCATGATAAGATTTTTGAGTTTGGCTTCCCTTATTTGGGTAATAGGTAGGCTCCTGGAGGCAGGGTAAAATGACAAAGAAAACCAGAGACTATGGATTGTGTAATGGTAGCCAGGTCTAACTTCAAAACGCCAGAAGATAGTTCAGGGTTCACATTCAGATGTGATAGTAGAGGCTATTGAAAGCAAGAACTTTTTACATACTCTCTAATGACACACATTTACAATCAGCTATTCATTTAGATTTGATCTGATGGGTTGCATTATCCAGTTTGTTGCTAATTTGTCTATATATCATTTGTGGTACATAAAATTTGAAAATATGTGTACTGTTTCCAAGTTGATCTTTTGTTTTGTTTTGTTTTTGAGACAGAGTCTCGCTTGTCAACCAGGCTGGAGTGCGGTGGTGTGATCTCAGCTCACTGCAACATTTCCCTTCTGGGTTCAAGCAGTTCTCAAATCTCAGCCTCCCAAGTAGCTGGGATTACAGGAGTGAGCCACCGTGCCGGGCCTGTTTCCAAGTTTTAAAGCTTATAATTAACAAGTCCTGACTGGTATAATTGTTTTTAATTTTAGAATTATAGGATTTTACAAATAAGTCATTTTCAAGATTATCTACTTTATAGTTTCTTCATTAAGTACATAAAGCAATTAAGGTCCATAGTAACCAAGAAGCGAAGGCTTCCCCTACAGTAAAACGGATGATTAGTGGAATAGAATTGCAGCTCAAACCTCACCCGGGAATGGTGCTACTCATTGTAAGCATTAGAATAGAAGGCCTTCAGCAAAATAATTGTATTTTTGGTGGAACAAACAGCCACAAATTAGCCTATAAATTTGCCAGCTTAATTTGAACTCTGGTTTTTCTCTTAGATCTCATTTTGTCTGACTGTTTTATGTTAAATCACCAAGTAGGTAACTGCATTCATGCCAGTGCAGGACAAGGAATAAAGCAATAAAGAATGCACCTGCTCTAGTGAAGTTTCAACACCTCCCTCCTGCTCCCCAGGTTTTTACGAGGGAGGTTGTATAATCTAGGAGAAGATTCTCTACTTAGAGAAAAACAAATATGATTTGAGAGACAAGAAGGTCAGCTCTAGGAATCTTTTGGGAGATGAAAAAAATCAGCAATATGTTTAACTCAGAGAAAGGAAGGAAAAGGGAGAGTGTGAAGGGCAATGGAAATGTTAGGAACAGAATGTTTCGGTGGTAGGTATTTGGGAGAGTAAATCTATCAAAAGAGATCATTAACTGAAACCCAGGTTTCTTCTGCCTAAAGGAGGACATATGGTTACTTAGTCACCAGTGGTGCAGCGTATAATTCATAACCCACATAAACCATATAATTTATCATCCAAATCAGGACGGTTTTGAGCATGAAAGGGAGTTGCTGTTAATAATATACAGAGGTTGAGTGTGGTGGCTCATGCCTATAATCCCAGCACTTTGGGAGGCCAAGGCAGAAGGATTGCTTGAGGCTAGGAATTCAAGGCCAGCCTGGGCAATACAGTGAGATCCCATCTCTACAAAAATTTTAATAATTAGCCAGGTGTGGTGGTGTGCATCTATAGTCCCAGCCACTCAGGAGGCTGAGGTGAGAGGATTGTTTGAGCCCAGGAGGTCTAGACCACGGCAAGTCATGATTGCACCACTGCACTTCAGCCTGGGTGACAGAGACCCTATCTTAAAAAATAAATAAATACATAAATAAAAATTAAAAAAATATATATATAGGCCAGGTACAGTGACTCACACCTGTAATCCCAGCACTTTGGAAAGCTGAGGTGGGTGGATCATAAGGTCAGGAGATCGAGACCATCCTGGCTAACATGGTGAAACCCCGTCTCTACTAAAAATATAAAAAATTAGCCAGGCGTGGTGGCACACACCTGTAATCCCAGCTATTCAGGAGGCTGAGACAGGAGAATCACTTGAGCCTGGGAGGCAGAGGTTGCAGTGAGCCTAGGTCACGTCACTGCACTCTAGCCTGGGCGACAGAGTGAGACTCCGTCTCAAAAAAAAAAAATCTATCTATCTATCTATATAACATATATACATATGTAATATATGCATAATATATAAATGATATTAAATATGTATTATATAGTACATTATATAATAGAAACAGGAAAAATTATATTAAAAGTATATAATTTATATAAATATGATTATATATACTATAACATACATTAAATCAGGGGTGTGTTTATCCTGGCCAATAGCCACTTGGTAAAAGAATGGCTAACGCTAGCTTTCTTCCCAGACTAGTTCAACAGTGACCCCTTCTGGCCGTTTGGTTAATATATCAGCCTGGGTTTGCCAAAGACTTGGGATGGAATGGTGGCCAGTTGAGATGTTGGTAGGCTGGGGAAGCACTGGAGAGAGCAAGAGGCGCATCTGGGATTGGTCTGAGAAAAGGTTCAGTGATCTACTTGGCCTAACATAGGATGATTAGCTGTGCTGCAAGCAGCCACTTGATCAACAGCATTCTGTGCTATTGCCACCATCCAGGCAATGTGTTTCTTGAGCAAAATTTCCCTGCTGTATGCTGTCTAGTAGCAAAGAAACAACAAAGTAGTCTTCATTTGTATATTCTATCCCTTGTGTTTCAGGATCGAATAGTGTGAGATCATAGCCCCTCTGGACTTGTTTAGGGAAAATGGAACTATGTTAGTTACTTCATGGACGTGACTTCTGGGATACTTCAATTTTTTTTTTTTTTGAGACAGAGTCTTGCTCTGTCTCGCAGGCTGGAGTGCAGTGGCGCGATCTCAGCTCACTGCAACCTCTGCCTCCTGGGTTCAAGAGATTCTCCTGCCTCAGCCTCCCGAGTAGCTGGGATTACAGGCGCCCACCACCATACCCAGCTAATTTTTGTATTTTTAGTAGACACAGGGTTTCACCATGTTGGCCAGGCTGGCCTCAACTGCTGACCTCAGGTGATCCACCTGCCTTGGCCTCCCAAAGTGCTGGGATTACAGGCGTGAGCCACTGTGCCCGGCCCAAAAATCTTTTTAATGTATTATTTTTTAATAGGCATAGAGCCAATGCAGTGATTTCTGGGACATAGAAGGGGGATTATATGCTCAAATTTTGTTTTATTTTGCTTTGTCTTATTAAAAATTATCTTTTTAAAAATATTTTTTTCTTCTTTTTTTTTAGTTGACACATGCTGGCAGTAAAAAATAATTTTAATAGAGATAGGGTTTCACTGTGTTGCCCAGGCTGGTCTCAGACTCCTGGGCTCAAGCAGTCCTCCTACCTTGGTCTCCCAAGGTGCTGGAATTACAGGTGTGAGCTACTGTACCCAGCCTGCTTTCTCTCATAGATGAGAAAACTGAGGCATAAGGAAGTTAAGGTTACAGAGGAAGAAAGCTGGTTGGAAAGCTTGGTCAAAGCTTGAGCTATGACCTTTCTGACTCTTAAATCCATTAATTAATTCTTAGTTTTTCATTGGATTGGTATATTTAATTTAAAATTTTTATTTCCTGTATTATAAAATCAATACAACCAGCCTGGGCTGGGCATGGTGGCTCACGCCCGTAATCCCAGAACTTCGGGAGGCCAAGGCGGGCAGATCACTTGAGGTCAGGAAATTGAGACCAGCCTGGCCAACATGGGATACGAATATAAAAATACAAAAATTATCCCGGCTTGGTGGCTTTCGCCTGTAATCCCAGTGACTTGGGAGGCTGAGGCAGGATAGTCACTTGAACCCAGGAGGCAGAGGTTGCAGTGAGCCTAGATCATGTCACCACACTCCAGCCTGGGCAACAGAGCAAGACTCCATCTCAAATAAATAAATAAATAAAAATACAACTAGCTTGGGCAACATGTGAAACCCCATCTGTACAAAAAATACAAAAATCAGCTGAGCGTAGTGGTGTGCGCTGTAGCCAGTGGGGCGTGGCGGTGTGCACTGTAGCCAGTGGGGCGTGGCGGGGTGCGCTGTAGTCTGCGGGGCGTGGCGGGGTGCGCTGTAGTCAGCGGGGCGTGGTGGTGTGCGCTGTAGTCCCAGCTTCTCGGGAGGCTGAGGCGGGAGGATCATTTGAGCCTGGGAGGTGGAGGTTTCAGTGATCTGAGACCATGCCACTGCACTCCAGCCAGGGTGACAGAGCCAGACCCTGTCTCAAAAAATCAAATCAAGTGAAATCAATACATTCCCACAGTTTAATATCCATAAAATACAAAAAGGGCATAAAGTAAAATGTCTCCCTCTCAAGACCTGTCTCACAGCCACCTGGTATCCCTATAACAGGCCACCAATATTACCCATTTCTGTGAATATCTAAGTAAATTGTTTATATATCCTCCCACCTTTTAGTGGGTGTATTATGCTATATTCAATCTTCCGTTGAAATGTAGGTCGTTTCCTGACTGTTGCTATTATAAACAGTACTGCAATGAATAACATCTATATTTACTGTGAGATAATTCCCAGAATTAGAAAAGCTGGGCCACAGCTATAAGCATTTGTCGTTTGTCTTTTGATAGATACGACCTAATTGCCCTTCTTGAAAGTTGCTGATACTCCTTTCAGCAGTGTATGATTTCTTGGTTTAAAATCTACTTATTTATGAGTAAAGCTTTTTGAAAACAAAAATTCATAAACCTCCTGAGAACTACTTTCCTTCTCCTTCATTCATTGCCCTGAAGACAGGAAGGAGATGTATCTGATCCTCAACCTCAGCATGGTGTATCTGATCCTCAGCCTCAGCATAGTGTATCTGGTCCTCAGCCTCAGCATAGTGTATCTGATCCTCAACCTCAGCATGGTGTATCTGGTCCTCAACCTCAGCATGGTGTATCTGGTCCTCAGCCTCAGCATGGTGTATCTGGTCCTCAGCCTCAGCATGGTGTATCTGGTCCTCAGCCTCAGCATGGTGTATGTGATCCTCAGCCTCAGCATGGTGTATCTGGTCCTCAGCCTCAGCATGGTGTATCTGATCCTCAGCCTCAGCATGGTGTATCTGGTCCTCAGCCTCAGCATGGTGTATCTGGTCCTCAGCCTCAGCATGGTGTATCTGGTCCTCAGCCTCAGCATGGTGTATCTGGTCCTCAGCCTCAGCATAGGGTATCTGGTCCTCAACCTCAGCATAGTGTATCTGATCCTCAGCATAGTGTATCTGGTCCTCAGCCTCAGCATGGTGTATCTGGTCCTCAGCCTCAGCATAGTGTATCTGATCCTCAACCTCAGCATGGTGTATCTGATCCTCAGCATAGTGTATCTGGTCCTCAACCTCAGCATAGTGTATCTGATCCTCAGCATAGTGTATCTGGTCCTCAACCTCGGCATAATATATCTGATCCTCAGCCTCAGCATAGTGTATCTGATCCTCAGCCTCAGCATAGTGTATCTGATCCTCAACCTCAGCATGGTGTATCTGATCCTCAACCTCAACATAGTGTATCTGATCCTCAGCCTCAGCATAGTGTATCTGGTCCTCAGCATAGTGTATCTGATCCTCAGCCTCAGCATAGTGTATCTGGTCCTCAACCTCAGCATAGTGTATCTGATCCTCAGCCTCAGCATAGTGTATCTGGTCCTCAGCATAGTGTATCTGGTCCTCAGCCTCAGCATAGTGTATCTGATCCTCAGCCTCAGCATAGTGTATCTGATCCTCAGCATAGTGTATCTGATCCTCAGCCTCAGCATAGTGTATCTGGTCCTCAGCCTCAGCATAGTGTATCTGATCCTCAGCCTCAGCATAGTGTATCTGATCCTCAGCATAGTGTATCTGATCCTCAGCCTCAGCATAGTGTATCTGGTCCTCGCCTCGGCATGGTGTATCTGGTCCTCAGCCTCGGCATGGTGTACCTGGTCCTCAGCCTCGGCATGGTGTACCTGGTCCTCTGCCTCGGCATGGTGTACCTGGTCCTCAGCCTCGGCATGGTGTACCTGGTCCTCAGCCTCGGCATGGTGTACCTGGTCCTCAGCCTCGGCATGGTGTACCTGGTCCTCAGCCTCGGCATGGTGTATCTGGTCCTCAGCCTCGGCATGGTGTATCTGGTCCTCAGCCTCGGCATGGTGTATCTGGTCCTCAGCCTCGGCATGGTGTACCTGATCCTCAGCATAGTGTATGTGGTACTCAACCTCAGCATGGTGTATCTGGTCCTCAGCCTCAGTATAGTGTATCTGGTCCTCAGCCTCAGCATAGTGTATCTGGTCCTCAGCCTCAGCATAGTGTATCTGGTCCTCAGCCTCAGCATAGTGTATCTGGTCCTCAGCCTCAGCATAGTGTATCTGGTCCTCAGCCTCGGCATGGTGTATCTGATCCTCAACCTCAGCATAGTGTATCTGATGACACTTTGACCTATCTTTCCCAAATGATGTAAATGCTCCTGTCAGTTTCTGCTGCAGTAAAATAGCTCTTCCTTTATTCACAGAAAGGGAATAAGTTACATGGACTCCTTAGATTTATTATTTAAAGCATGATGGACCATTATGCTGATTCTGTTTTTAATGTTTATTTCACTTTGGAATTAGTCTTGTTCCCCGGGAAATCATTTCCTGGCTTCTAAGTTGACAGTTCTCTGTTATTTGTTGTGCCTGAAAAGTTTGGTACAACCAGGCTAACAGAGGCAGTTAGTGCAGATGATGATGTCAAAAATCTCTTTATAGGCTGAGCATGGTGGCTCACACCTGGAATCCCAGCATTTTGGGAGGCCAAGGTGGGATTGCTTGAGTCCAGGAGTTCGAGACCAGCCTGGGCAACATGGTCTCTACAAAAAAAAAAAAAAAAAATTAGCTGGGCATGGTGGTGTCCATCTGTGGTCCCATCTACTTGGGAGGCTGAGATGGGAGGATCACTTGAGCCCAGGAGGTCAAGGCTGCCGTGAGCTGTGACCACATCAGTGCACTCCAGGCTGGATGACAGAGTGAGACCCTGTCTCAAAAAAAAAATGAAAAGGTCTTTATAGTCATTTTTCATAACCCAACCTACCCCTAAAATCAGGGTGAATACCCAGAGAACACCTAAAGAAAGGAGTATGCAGTTGGGCCGGGCGCGGTTGCTCACACCTGTAATCCCAGCACTTTGGGAGGCTTAGGCGGGTGGATCACGAGGTCAGGAGATCGAGACCATCCTGTCTAACACTGTGAAACCCCATCTCTACTAAAAAATAATACAAAAAATTAGCTGGGCTTGGTGGTGGGCGCCTGTAGTTCCAGCTACTCAGGAGGCGGAGGCAGGAGAGTCGCTTGAATCCGGGAGTTGCAGGTTGTAGTGAGCCGAGATCGTGCCACTGCACTCCAGTCTGGGTGATGGAGCGAGATTCCGTCTCAAGAAAAAAATAAAAAAAAAGAAAGGAGTATACAGTCATGGAACTGTCACACAGAGCCAGTTCCATTTGCCAAGTACAAGATATCGAATCAATGTATTTTTGTGGCTTGGCATGGTGGTTCACACCTGTAATCCCAGCACTTTGGGAGGCTGAGGCTGGCGGGTCATTTGAGACCAGGAATTCGAGACCAGCCTGGCCAACAAGGAAAAACCCCATCTCTACTAAAAACACAAAAATTAGGCAGGCGTGATGACATGCACCTGTAATCCCAGCTGCTTGGGAGGCTGAGGCAGGAGAATCACTTGAACCCAGGAGGCGGAAGTTGCAGTGAGCCGAGATCACGCCACTGCACTCCAGCCTGGGTGACAGAGTGAGACTCGGCCTCAAAAATAAAAATAAAAATGACAAAAAAAAAGGTATTTTTGTGATCAATTCTTTCATTTGGATTTAGGTGAGCGACCTGTGAGAGTTTATGCCGATGGAATATTTGACTTATTTCACTCTGGTCACGCCCGAGCTCTGATGCAAGCGAAGAACCTTTTCCCTAATACGTACCTCATTGTGGGAGGTAAGAAAACATTTGGTGACTTCAGGTGCTGTGCAGAAAAAGATGATAGTACAGTCTGTCTTTCTCAGCTGAGTACACTGGCTCTTGTTTCCATTTTTAAATGAAGGATGTAGTACAGCCTCTCTAACACACATGAAGTATATGGGTACCAGCAAACTAAACCTGGAGAGAGGAGCTTCAAGCTCCTCGACTGTGCCATCTGGCATTTATTCACTGCTTGTAGCTGAGTTTCTGTGGTCACAGGAGCAGCCGTGACTTCCGTTGTCCACTTTAAAACATTTGCTTTAGATTTCAGTTTATCATTTTGAATTAACTGGAGTACAAAAGTCTGCCAAGGAAATGTTAGGTGGTCCAGTCCAGTGTGAATAAAACAGGAAAACATGTTTAAGGACTTAATTGATGCAGACACGCACAGCAGGTTTATTTCAGAGTCAAAGATCTTGGTCACCTGTTGTACTGTCCCTTCTCCAAAGTATGAACATACTGTTTAGTGAGTGTTGCTCCTGAAGGTATACGCTGCATTAGGAAAAGCGTTATCACCCAGGTTCAACCACCTTTAGAAGACTTTTTTCCAGTTGGGGAAGATGGTTGCAGTCCTAAGCAGTGGGAGAAGATGGGAGAGGTCGGTGGCTGAGGAGGTGCTAAGCAAAGAGGACTCCAACACACAATTTATGATGTGGTGAACCAGTTTGCAGTGATGAGCTCACACACAACTTCAAAGGCTTCACGGTGATGAACGAGAATGAGCGCTATGACGCAGTCCAGCACTGCCGCTACGTGGATGAGGTGGTGAGGAATGCGCCCTGGACGCTGACACCCGAGTTCCTGGCCGAACACCGGGTAAGAAACTGGACACATATTCCCATTCCTTGTTTCAGAATCCCCTCAACTCTCAAAGCTGCTGGCACGTAGGCTGGTTTTCCACTAGCCGTGTTTTACTTCTACCTCTTATGTAAGTTTCGTAGGAGATGACAGTGATATTACTAGTGATAACAGTCACCCCTGACGTTTATATGGGGCTGGATGGTTTGCAAGCACTTTTACATCCATTCTATTCCATTTTCTGCCCACAGCAATCCTGTGGTGTGTTTGTCATTTCCGCTTTACATATGAGTAACAAGGGCTAGAGAAACCAAATAACCTGCTCCAAGTTACACCATTGGCAGGGCTGGGAACTGAACTCGCCACAAGTTACACCACTGGCAGGGCTGGGAACTGAACTCGCCACAAGTTACACCACTGGCAGGGCTGGGAACTGAACTCGCCACAAGTTACACCACTGGCAGGGCTGGGAACTGAACTCGCCACAAATTACACCACTGGCAGGGCTGGGAACTGAACTCGCCACAAGTTACACCACTGGCAGGGCTGGGAACTGAACTCACCAGTTACGAGACCTTCCCCCCACACCATAGGCACATCTACCCTTAGAACATGCCAGTCTCCTGAGAATATCCATAGCCCCAGGTGAACTCTGAAGACGGTCACATTACCAGGAAATAAGACGGATTAACATAGACTTTTCTTGGCTTAAGTTTCATTTCAGGGCTTTGATCTTATGCTAGAAATTGGGTGGAATCAGAAATCAAGGATATTTCTCACTGTTTCTCAGTAAGTTATTATCAACCCCTTACCTCCTTTTAATTCTCCCACATTAAAGTAACAGATTTCAGCCAGGTGCAGTGGCTCACGCCTGTAATCCAAGCACTTTGGGAGGCCAAGGTGGGAGGATCGCTTGAGCCCAGGAGCTCAAGACCAGCCTGGGCAACATACCGAGACCCTGTCTCTACTTTAAAAAAAAAAAAGCCACAGGTTTCCTGCAAAAGGTGGGTACAAAAGATGAGAAGGATTGATTAGGCCAGGTTAGAGGCCCCCAAGCCTGAGGAAATAGCAAGCATGTTGTCAGTTCTCTACAGGGGCG
This sequence comes from Homo sapiens, assembly GCF_000001405.40. Taxonomy (NCBI): domain Eukaryota; kingdom Metazoa; phylum Chordata; class Mammalia; order Primates; family Hominidae; genus Homo; species Homo sapiens. The sequence continues at coordinate 196,246,285 of NC_000003.12, read as the reverse complement.
CGTGGAATGTTGTAGGTAAATTGTTCAGTGAGGCAGAAAGAATGAAGGCAGCCAAAGTGCTTCTAAAGCAATACGTGGGTAGGCCTGAAGAGGGGATATTTATTAAAACTATTGAGGATTAGGACAGACCTTTTATAATTCTCTGGCTTTTCTACATCAACACCTAGCAGCCAGTGGCACCAAAGGTGGTAAGCAAGTTTATTCTCAGCACCACAGCCCACAGGCCCAGACAGAAGTATGAAGTTAGAGGAATTTCTAACTCCCCTTTTCTCTTTGTTAACAATATATACTCAACCTTGAGTTTTGCTTGTCCCATTCTTTTTTTTTTTTTTTTTGAGACAGAGTTTTGCTCTGTTGCCCAGGCTGGAGTGCAATGGCGTGATCTCGGATCACCGCAACCTCCGCCTCCCGGGTTCAAGTGATTCGCCTGCCTCAGCCTCCCGAGTAGCTGGGATTACAGGTGCGCGCCACCATGCCCGGCTAATTTCTTGTATTTTTAGTAGAGGCAGTGTTTCGCCGTTTTGGCCAGGCTGGTCTTGAACTCCTGACCTCAGGTGATCCACCCGGCCTCCTATTCTTTACTTTGCTGCCTATGGATCCCTGACAAGTTGTTCATGAGTAATTGAGATGCTGGCTGAGAGTCTCTGACATAGTCCCAATGAACATGCTTCACACTACAGTGGTCTCTCGGGGATGGTATAGTGATCTTAGTAATTATCAGCAAAAGGCTGGTGGCCCATACAGGAAGGAGTAAGTGAAGTTTAGCACGCCTCCGAACAACATTATTGATCCCCAGTATCATTCATCTCTTCTTGCCCTTGCAAAGGATATTCATAGCAGTAAAATGGCCAGGCGCTGTGGCTCACGCCTGTAATCCCAGCACTTTGGGAGGCCAAGTCAGGTGGATCACTTGAGGTCAGGAGTTCGTGACCAGCCTGGCCAACACGGTGAAACCCTGTCTACTAAAAATGCAAAGATTAACCAGGCGGGGTGACATGCGCCTGTAGTCCCAGCTACTCGGGAGGCTGAGGCAGGAGAATCGCTTGAATCCAGGAGGCAGAGGTTTCAGTGAGCCGAGACTGTGCCACTACACTCCAGCCTGGGCGACAGAGCGAGACTCGGTCTCAAAAAAAAAAAAAAAAGTAGTGAAATGATAGATCCTGAGGATAAAACTTCTTTTATTTATTTATGTATTTTTATTGATCATTCTTGGGTGTTTCTCGCAGAGGGGGATTTGGCAGGGTCATAGGACAATAGTGGACGGAAGGTCAGCAGATAAACAAGTGAACAAAGGTCTCTGGTTTTCCTAGGCAGAGGGCCCTGCGGCCTTCTGCAGTGTTTGTGTCCCTGGGTACTTGAGATTAGGGAGTGGTGATGACTCTTAACGAGCATGCTGCCTTCAAGCATCTGTTTAACAAAGCACATCTTGCACCGCCCTTAATCCATTTAACCCTGAGTGGACACAGCACATGTTTCAGAGAGCACAGGGTTGGGGGTAAGGTCACAGATCAACAGGATCCCAAGGCAGAAGAATTTTTCTTAGTACAGAACAAAATTGAGTCTCCCATGTCTACTTCTTTCTACACAGACACAGCAACAATCTGATTTTTCTATCTTTTCCCCACATTTCCCCCTTTTCTATTCGACAAAACCGCCATCGTCATCATGGCCCGTTCTCAATGAGCTGTTGGGTACACCTCCCAGACGGGGTGGTGGCCGGGCAGAGGGGCTCCTCACCTCCCAGTAGGGGCGGCCGGGCAGAGGCGCCCCTCACCTCCCGGACGGGGTGGCTGCCGGGCGGAGACGCTCCTCACTTCCCAGACCGGGTCGCGGCCGGGCAGAGGAGCTCCTCACATCCCAAACGGGGCGGCGGGGCAGTGGCGCTCCCCACATCTCAGACGATGGGCGGCCGGGCAGAGACGCTCCTCACTTCCTAGACGGGATGGCGGCGGGGAGGAGGCGCTCCTCACTTCCCAGACTGGGCAGCCGGGCAGAGGGGCTCCTCACATCCCAGACGATGGGCGGCCAGGCAGAGACGCTCCTCACATCCCAGACGGGGTCGTGGCCGGGCAGAGGCGCTCCTCACCTCCAAGACTGGGTGGCGGTCGGGCAGAGACACTCCTCAGTTCCCAGACGGGGTCGTGGCCTGGCAGAGGCGCTCCTCACATCCCAGATGGGGCGGCGGGGCAGAGGCGCTCCCCACATCTCAGACGATGGGCGGCCGGGAAGAGGCGCTCCTCACTTCCCAGACTGGGCGGCCGGGCAGAGGGGCTCCTCACATCCCAGACGATGGGCGGCCAGGCAGAGACGCTCCTCACTTCCCAGACGGGGTGGCGGCCGGGCAGAGGCTGCAGTCTCAGCACTTTGGGAGGCCAAGGCAGGCGGCTGGGAGGTGGAGGTTGTAGCGAGCCGAGATCACGCCACTGCACTCCAGCCTGGGCAGCATTGAGCACTGAGTGAACGAGACTCCGTCTGCAATCCCGGCACCTCGGGAGGCCGAGGCTGGCGGATCACTCGCGGTTAGGAGCTGGAGACCAGCCCGGCCAACACAGCAAAACCCTGTCTCCACCAAAAAAATACGAAAACCAGTCAGGCGTGGCGGCGTGCGCCTGCAATGGCAGGCACTGGGCAGGCTGAGGCAGGAGAATCAGGCAGGGAGGTTGCAGTGAGCAGAGATGGCGGCAGTACAGTCCAGCTTCCGCTCGGCATCAGAGGGAGACCATAGAAAGAGAGGGAGAGGGAGACCGTGGGGAGAGGGAGAGGGGAGAGGGGAGAAGGGAGAGGGGAGAGGGAGAAAACTTCTCTTATGGCCTTCGGTTTGTATTTCTCAGGCCAATAGATGTATCTATTCCAGTCAGAGGGCTCGTGGTTGCTATTTTTATATTCCCTCTTTTCTCACGGACTGAGAGAAACTAGTTAAGAAAGAAGTAACCTCTTTCTCATACTTTTTTTTTTTTTGAGACAGAGTCTTGCTTTGTCACCCAGGCTGGAGTGCAGTGGTGCGATTTTGGCTCACTGTAGCCTCTGCCTCCTGGGTTCAAGCAATTCTCCTGCCTCAGCCTCCCAAGTAGCTGGGACTACAAGCGCCCGCCACCATGCCTGGCTAATTTTTTTGTATTTTTAGTAGAGACGGGGTTTCACCATGTTAGCCACGTTAGTCTTGAACTCCTGACCTCGTGATCTGCCCGCCTTGGCCTCCCAAAGTGCTGGGATTACAGGCATGAGCCACCGTGCCTGGCCTTTCTCATACTTTTAGAAACCCTTATTTGACCAAATCCTTCCAGACCCAGGACAGGGAGATTTCCTTCTTTCCTAGGCTCCACCCACTAACCGGTTCACCAGCAAACCCTCTGGCCCTATTGACCACAGCAAGATGACTGGTATACAGAGTGAGGGTAACAGTTCTAGCAGACTAGGAGAAATAGCTACAAAAGCAGCTGGCTAACTTCATATGTATACTCCATAAATCATTAGGTTGGGTGGTTTGTGAATAGATTGTAGAATTTATGAGCAAAGCAAAGAGAGATATGAAGTCCACTGAGGCCTGGCCTCTGCCTATTGTCCTTTTTCTGGGCCTGAGAACATTGACTGGGTCTTTCTGAATGGCAGTTATCATGGGTTTTAATGATGTTTCCTTATTTTCAGATTGATTTTGTAGCCCATGATGATATTCCTTATTCATCTGCTGGCAGTGATGATGTTTATAAGCACATCAAGGAGGCAGGTGAGTGAGCTGTGCTTCCTCACTGTAGGGGATCTCAGGGCAGCTGCAGATGTTCAGCCATGTTGCTGCTTTACAGAGGAAAATGTGTACATTAGAAATTCAACATCCTCTTTCAGGCCACATTTTGGATAAAAGGTAAAGATGAGCATAGCACCCATCAATTCTTTGTCGTCAGTTCATGACATCCATCAATTCTTGGTCTAAACATCTACTTTGGATATCTCTCTTAATTTCAGGAAACCCTTTCTCATATTTTTCTTAATATTAGGGCTATGTAACTCTTCTTTGCCTTACCTCTGGCCTTTGATTCGGTCTACCTTCTGTATATCAGTATCTTTCAGTTTCATTTAGTAATAACAGATTCTGCTTTTTGAGGAAAGGAAAGGAATGTTGCCCCCAATTTCCATTTAGTCTTAATACCTGAGCTAACCAGAACCTCACAGTGTTTGTCTGTATGTGTTTCTGAGTTAGGCATGTTTGCTCCAACACAGAGGACAGAAGGTATCTCCACATCAGACATCATCACCCGAATTGTGCGGGATTATGATGTGTATGCGAGGCGGAACCTGCAGAGGGGCTACACAGCAAAGGAGCTCAATGTCAGCTTTATCAACGTGAGTTCCAGCCTTACCCCAGAGTTCCCTGACTCTGTAGGAGACATATCACCTCCCACTCCATCTCAGCTGAACTGGCTTTGCAGTTGGCTTTGATGATCACTCCCAAAAGTTCAGTGAATGAATTACCACTATGTTAACTGTTCACAAAAAGAATGAAACAGACAGTTTCTGCCGTTACGGTCTGGTACCAACACATTCGTATAAAGCCATACAGCCAACTAAATAAATGAGTAATTTATATAGTGCAGTATTTCTGTCAATAAATGGAAAACGGTGTCTCTTAAACTTCCTCTCTCTTCTTCGGTTGGATGATGTCTTGGGAACCTGCGAAAGGCTATGAGCCCTCCTCGTGTGGATAGTGACACCCGACACACCACTTCCCACACAGACCTGAGTTTTAAATTTGGATTGACGAAAGTTAAGTTTATCTTAGCTTAATATTGCCTTTTAGAAACTCTATATATTTTTCTGGGCATGGTAGTTCATGCCTGTACTTTGGGAGGCTGAGGCGGGAGGACTGCTTGAGGCCAGGAGTTTGAGACCAGTCTGGGGGCAACATAGCGAGACCCCATCTCTAAACAAACAGACAAACAAAAAAACTAAAAAAATTCATGCAAATATATATATATGTAGTGTTTCTTTCTTTTTGAGACAGGGTCTCGCTCTGTCACCGAGGCTGGAGTGCAGTGGCGTGATCTCGGCTCACTGCAGCCTCTGTCTCCTGGTGCCTTAGCCTCCTGAATAGCTGTGATTACAGGCATGTGCCACCAGGCCTGGCTAATTTTTTTTTTTTTTTTTTTTTTTTTTTTTTTTAGCAGAGATGGGGTTTTGCCATGTTTGCCAGGCTGGTCTCAAACTCCTGGCCTCAAGCGATCGGACCCCCTTGGCCTCGCAAAGTGCTGGGATTACAGGCATGAGCCACCGTATCCAGCCAACACTATACATTTTGTATGTAAATTAGACCTCAATAAAATCGATTTAAAAAGAAGAAAGCTGCTAACTTTAATGTCTTCTACATAACCAGTTTACCATGCTCCCTGACCTACTCCCATCTCTGTAAATTGTGCTATAAGAATGGATAAAATGATTACATCTAAATATGATTTATCTAGGCAGATAAACCCTAGCTCTTGTTAATTTACTTACTATAGCTTTATTTTTCCCATAAAAATCAGGTGTTTAAAAATTCTAAACATAATCCCTTTTCTCTTTATGATCTGGAAATTTTGAGAGTACTTTTCTTTTTCTTTTTTTGAGATAGAGTCACACTCAGTCATCCAGGCCAGAGTACAGTGGCGCAATCTTGGCTTACTGCAGCCTTGACCTCCGGGCTCAAGTGCTCCTCCCATCTCAGCCTCCTGAGTAGCTGGGACTACAGGCACAGGCCACCATACCCAGCTTATTTTTTATATTTTTATTTTTAGTAGAGATGAGGTCTTGCTATGTTGTCCAGGCTGCTCTCGAGTTCCTGGCCTCAAGCAGTCCTCCCACTTCGGCTTCCCAAAGTGCTGGTATTACAGGCATGAGCCACTGTGCCTGGCCAAGGATACTTCTCATTTGACTAAATACTCCCTTCCCTTCCACCGGAGGGTTTATACCATTTTCCTTATCTTTAGCAAAGTTGGTAAGACCAACGAGTATCATCATTTTGCAAATGAGTAAATGGACCTTAAAATACTAAAGGAACAAAAAGCAAAAAACACAATTCATTTAAAATAATAGAATAAGCCAGTGATAGAGGGGAAAAATCCAGTACAATAAGCAGATTAATTAAGTAAAAGATCTAGTATTTTCTCTTTCAATCTATTGTAATTAGTTTATTCTTGGCAGTATTGTGCAGTGATCTTTTAGCTGCCTCTGTATCTCCGTCTGGAATGAGGTTCGGGCCATGCTGCGCATGTTTATGTTCCAAGTTTATGTTTTATCTTTAAAACTCTGACTTTATTTGGCTACGTGCCTGTTACTGGGTATAGCCTATATTTTTAGTTTATTCCCAAATGCCCACAATATTAGAATTACCACTTCTTGTGTGTGCATCCACAGCATATCTTATCTGTTATTATGCTGAGAGTGGGGTAGATTAAAGCAAAGCAAAATTCTAGACTGAAAACAGTGTCAATTGAGTGCTTGAGCCATGTTTTTTCGTTCTCTTATGGTAGAGAAGTTTAGGATGAGCATTATTTCTCAGAAGAGTTATTTCTTTATCTAGGAGAAGAAATACCACTTGCAGGAGAGGGTTGACAAAGTAAAGAAGAAAGTGAAAGATGTGGAGGAAAAGTCAAAAGAATTTGTTCAGAAGGTGGAGGAAAAAAGCATTGACCTCATTCAGAAGTGGGAGGAGAAGTCCCGAGAATTCATTGGAAGTTTTCTGGAAATGTTTGGTCCGGAAGGAGCACTGGTATGTTCTTTCCCACTGGACAATGTAGGGAGTTCCATGTTGTGGAAAGAATGACAGAATCATTGAGCAGGAAGGGGCATCGACACTGAGAAGTTATCTAGTCTATCCCCTTATCTGGGCAGAACTATCTTTCAACTGTCCCCAGCAAGGTTTTTGAAACCTTTACAGAAAGACGTTACACATTCTCCTAGATAATTTTGCCAGCTCTCTCTCAACCTTAAAGTCTGGTGACAAGATAAGCAAGTCGCCTTGCCCAGCTTTTATCTGTGGTATGATTTTAGATAGAAGGAAAGGAAAGAATAAAGAACAATAAAAAGAAAGCAGCCTCCACTACAAGTAGCTGCAGCAGGAACCCCAGGTAAGGTGGGAATTCTGTCTTTGAGGAGTAGCAGTCTTTTCAACCAAATAAAAGATTGAGCAAGTGAGTCCTAGGTTAGATATCAGGAAGGATCTGTCTGTGAAGGTGTTTGGATAAATTAGAATAATCCTAGACTAGATTATTGAGGAAGAATGGGGAATTTCCCGGGTGATGACAGCAGGGGAGAACCCTTAAATAAATAGTACAGCATAGACTATCCCAGTCCTAGATGCTTCAGTGATGATTAAGTAGGATCCACGGTGTTTTTCTGACTCTTCCTTTCGGTTTCTGCAGAAACATATGCTGAAAGAGGGGAAGGGCCGGATGCTGCAGGCCATCAGCCCGAAGCAGAGCCCCAGCAGCAGCCCTACTCGCGAGCGCTCCCCCTCCCCCTCTTTCCGATGGCCCTTCTCCGGCAAGACTTCCCCACCTTGCTCCCCAGCAAATCTCTCCAGGCACAAGGCTGCAGCCTATGATATCAGTGAGGATGAAGAAGACTAATGTTTCCTCCCTCCTTTCCTGTCCTCCCTTTCTGTCCCATTACCTTCAGAAGCTCTCTGTTGAATTCCAAATTGTGACCCCAACACTAAACCTAAGGACAGCTACAAAGGAAAGACAACTGGGGAAAGAAGACCTAGGACTGGGGGAACCCAAACAGCCTGTCCTGCAAGTGACATCACTCACCCACACGAAGGAGGGGGACTGCACCTTAGAAGCCTGCTCTGCATCCATTTACCCCCCCCCAAGGGCTTTGTTTCACTGTTTATGTTCACGTGATCTCAACAGGGAAATTGTCATTTTCATTAATTTTTTAAAAAATTCGTCTTTCAAATGTAGAACTAATTTTTTGCCCCTGAGGAGTGGGCAGAAGAAGGAGGTAGTGTAATACGCAGAGGCCTTTTCTTCCCGGTATACTATAGCATTTGCCTTCCGTTCTGAAGCTATGTGGCTTGCCAAGTCCTTCACGAAATGAGCCACGCTGATGGGTAATTTGTGGAGAAATATCTTAATTTTGATTTCCTTAAGGAAAAGCGAAAAGCAGAGTTACAGTCACAAATCCCCTGAACGTACTGCTGTCACCAGTGTCATTGTGGCTGCGGGAAGGAGATCTGAACCTAACTTTTCTTACTCCCTGAGGAGTTTCTTGTTGGACCCAATGGGGTCCATGAAGACACTGATGGGGATGGAAGCAGACCCATGGCATCAACTGCAGTGTTTCTGCTGTGTTCATCTTCTCAGAAAACTCTGTGACCCAGTTCTTTGGGAGCTTTTGTCAGTCTCTTTCGTGCCATCTACCTTCGAAGGAAGGAACACTTTTAGAGTTACAATGATGAGGAGAGGAGCGGGACAATACTCAATCCTATACCAAGTCGATTGAGATTAGTTTCCTACTGGGAGTAAGTGCCTGGCCCTGCTACTCCTATTTGAATGCTATTAATATTACCTAGCCTTTTACAAAGGATACTTTGTAAATGTCTGCTGTTGGAACTTGATGTTAATCCATTTTGGTCATAGCCATATTAGAGAGATTTGCACAGAATGTAAAGGCAAAAGCATAGGAAACACCTTCCTTTCTAAAGCAACAGCCTTATCACCTTGACCTCTGTCCCTCTTCAGAACATTCTTCCCTGGAACCAGTGCTCCACATCTTTCTTTTCCTCTGAGAGCTGCAGCTGGCAGGGACCTCCCTCTGCTGCTCCTCCAGCAAGCCACAGAGCATACCCTCACGTGACAAGAGTGTGGTAGGTTTTCTCCCCACTTTTCACACACGCCTGGTGGTTGTGGTTCCATCTGCCTTGTTGGCTTGCCCGGGGGGATTCAACACTTGACTTTCAAATCAAAGAATGCTAATGCTTAGCACTTGCTGTTGAGCATGCTCTAACTTTTAAAGCCCTGGCCTCCTGTCTCCTTAGCTGCTTAGCTACGCGGCCTAGCAGATCATCACCCATCAGTAATCCTGTGGCTAGATCCAGGGGAAAATTGCTTATGTCCAGGCCCCACCCCTGTCACTCATAAATACCCCTTGTGGGGGTGGAATTTTAGTGTTTTCAGCTAAGAAAACCACATTTTCTCTTTCCTTGCCTCTGCTAGGACTGTGAGCATCTCATAGTCCACTCCCTAAACACTTTCTGGTAACACCTAGTTTTCCGCCTGAGGGTCAGAGGCTAGAATCATTGCCTGCACAGCAGGACTACCTTGGTTCTTAAAACTTGGATCACCCAGGCAAGGCGTGGTGGCTCACGCCTGTCATCTCAGCACTTTGGGAGACTGAGGCTGGTGGATCACTTGAGGCCACGAGTTTGAGACCAGCCTGACCAACGTGGTGAAACCCCATCTCTACTAAAAATACAAAAATTAGCCAGGCGTGGTGGTGGGCACCTGTAATCCCAGCTACTTGGGAGGCTGAGGCAGGAGAATCCCTTGAACCCAGGAGGCGGAGGTTGCAGTGAGCAGAGATGGTGCCGCTGCAGTCCAGCCTGGGTGACAGAGCGAGACTCTGTCTCCAAAACAAAACAAAAACCACACACACATACAGAAATAAAGAGAAATAATCAACTAGAAAAAAAACAAAACTTGGATCACCCAGAAAGAGCGTCACAGAGGCGAGGGAGAATGAAGCCTCTTGTTATCCTGATCGCCTATGACAACGACATTTCTAACTCTTCTTTGAAGCGCAGTTCTTACTCTTAAATCTGGTCATACAAGCTTTGGCTTGGAATCCTGTCTGTCTTTGAAACAGCTGAAGTTAGTGTTTTCCTGTGTTACCCAGTGTTACATAGTCTCATCTTTGAACTTTTCTGCGTCAGCCTTCTCTCTTTGGGAATGCTGCCTGTTTCTGTCTAACTTATTCTCCCTGGTGTGGTGTGGCAGTGAAGTCTGTGCTGAAGCCCATCTGCTTGGTTCCTCCAAGTGCACATTATGCAAGTGTATTTGGATAGACAGGGAGATGCCCGGAACGTGGTTTTCCTCCTCCCTCCCTATTGGAGCCATACCTCCTAAATATATTGTCTGGGTCCCAAATGTTTGAGCCCTCTTCCTCTGCTCTCAGTGGGCTGCTCTTGGCATGCCCTGTGCTTGGAACGGGACCTGCAGGCTGACAGGCCTCTGAGACTGCTAGGGCCAGCAAACGTACATGTTATTGGGAAACTCCCTTTCCCCTTTTGGTGAGCTTCTACCACCTCAGTCTAATCGTTTTGACTGAAAGCTATTTGTCTGACTGAAAGCTAAAATCTTTTATAGTGTGGCCTGTTAGATACTTTGGGGTAAATGTGGTCTGAGGTGCTGGACTAGCACGGGTAGATGGAGAAAGCTGTTGGGAAGTTGCATAATGTGGTCATCTGTGCCTAATTAAATGAGGTTAGAGGTGTGCACACCACCACAATGCCTGGGATCTAAATCTTCAGATATTAACGTTTGAGGCTATGGAGCTGTTTCCCTGAATCACACACGAGAAAGCAGTCAACATGGGTGGGCCAAATGTGGCCAAGATGAGAGAGCCAGAAGTGTTGGCCTTAGAGCAGAGCCTCTGTGTGTGAGACATTAGAAGGCCAGAGCCGGGGAGGTGCCGGCGCAGCCACTGCCTTCCGGTGGGCCGGACGGAAAGCTTGGTCTTATGCTAGATTCAGAAGCACTGAAGAATGGAGGTTGACACTTTAGAGGACTAGGAAGGGATCATTTGTGCTCTTGCAGCTATTGCTGATAGCTAGAGCCAAAGACCATTATATTGCTGAGGCTTGGGTAAGAAAGTTAGGGATGTGAGGAGGTTGAAAATCCTGAAGAAGAGAAAAAATATGAGGGAGGCTAAGGAAACTTAGCCACTTTCTGATCACTGATGACTCCTTAGGCTGCACCTGAGTGATGGTGGTGTTTTTGGAGGCTGTACCTGAGTGATGGTGGTTTTTGGGGGGCTGCACCTGAGCGATAGTGATTTTTTTTTGGAGGCTGCACAGCTGGTCAGACCATCTCTAGATGTTCTTTCCACAGTGGTTCATAGGGCGTCATTCCCCCTTCCTGGATTATTTTGACTATGGGTAGCTTATTTTCAAGAGCTCTTTGCCTTTTTAATCCTGTTCCAGATCACTTATCCAAAATCTTTCCAAATCAATTATATTTTGCTGCTTTTCTTTAATTCCCTAAAAGCCATAGCTTCTAGATTTTCTATCAGCACACATTCTCACCAGAAGTTGAACCAATACAGGTAGAAAAAGAAAGCCCCCTTAATGTTTTTAACTGATGATATTTTTTTAAGCTTACCAATATAAGTATTTTTAAAGGTTCTATTTTTCAAAGTCATAACAATGATTGTTCTTGTTTTCTCTCATAGAATAGACTGCCATCGGATAAAGAGTGGTCCCTAGCTTCTATTTTTCCAAGTAAATAAGTAGAACATGTTCTTGGGATTATACCATTAAATGTTAATTTTCTTGAAGAAGAAAGATTGTTGTCTGCCAAGATTTTATGTTAGCGCTCGGATTGAGGCAGAAAACGGAAGCACCAGGTTTAACACTGGGATGACTTGGGTTGTGTTCCTGGAGGTTTGAAGTGGGCCTTCCCGCCTTTTGAGGGGGAAAACTGACTGTTTTGAACACATATCCTGGATTAGTTGGGTTGTTTTGTATTGAGGATCCCTAAAAGACAAAAGAGTCTTGGAAAGGACTGCTGGCTTCGTCTTGAACGTTCGCCCCATCACCAGTGTGAGTCCGTGGGGAAGTCTTCCTCAAGTGGGGTTCAGTCTGTAATTTTCCTGTCTGTTCTTAGTTTGTTCTGAGTTATTTTGGATTTTGTTCTTTAGCCAAATAAAGGCAGTGTGGTTTTACCTGATGTTCCATGTCCAGTGGTGTTTTTATTTTTTATTTTTATTTTTTTTGAGACGGAGTTTTGCTCTTCTTGCCCAGGCTGGAGTGCAGTGGCGCAATCTCGGCTCACTGCAGCCTCCGCCTCCCAGGTTCAAGCGATTCTCCTGCTTCAGCCTGCCAAGTAGCTGGGATTACAGGCATGCGCCACCACGCCTGGCTAATTAGTGTTTTTAGTAGAGATGGGGTTTCTCCATGTTGAGCAGGCTGGTCTCGAATTCCTGACCTCAGGTGAGCCACCTGCCTCGGCCTCCCAAAGTGCTGGGATTACAGGCGTGAGCCCCCGCGCCCGGCCGTGTCCTGTGTTTTGACCTGTGTGGTGCATTTTATGGATTTGGGACTTTTACTTGGACTCTCGGTGCCTTTGCTTCCACGTGCTGACTCTCTCCTTAGAAATCAAGCTCCATGACCACAGTGTCAGGAGATTCCTTTTCTAGCTTGTCACTGAAGACTCAAAAGCCATTGTCCCACAAAGTGAGGCTGACCCAGACCACCAGGGCCCCGCGTGGTTGGTGCCGTAGTAGCACACCTGTCAGGGAAAGGTCACCTTCCATCTGTTCTCCAGGGCCCCTGGCTTCTTCAAGACTCTGGGCTGGTGCTATTTCACCTCACCAAGTTCTCCTTTTCTTATGCCAGACACAATACTATATACTCTTCTTTTCATCTGCTTTAGGAAAGCTCAGTAAGCTTTCTTTTTTTTCCAGAGGCAGGGTCTGGCTGTATCACCCAGGCTGGAGTGTATGGCACAACCATTGCTCACTGCAGCCTCAACCTCCTGGGCTCAAGTGATCCTCCCGCCTCAGGCTCCCAAAGTGCTGGGATAGCAGGCATGAGCTGTCGCACCTAGCCAGCAATATACAACCTTGAAGGGTTAATAGTGACATGGACAGAGGCAAGGTGCCCAGTTACACATTTTCAGACATCATCTTGTTTATTACAAAACTTAAAACACCTTCCAGGCAAGATCCAAAGCAATTTTATTCTAACATTGTTCACCTTCATCTGTAGAGTCAAATGTATCTGCCAGCTTGTGTTGACAAGGGGGAATGCTTCCCATTTGGTCAAGGTTGAGGGACAGTAAAGGAATCTTGTATTCTAATGAGTACAGCATCCTTTCATTGTCCAAGCCATCCACCTTAGGCTTTGAGGTTCAAGTCCAGGTCTGGAGAAGAGAAAGTTTCATACCCAACCTTGTGGTCTTTCCTTCGGTAGTACATTCGTGTCAGCACAGTCATTAGAAAAGTCTCCAGTATGAGGAGGTGGCAATTCATCACTGCAGTGTAGGGTGAAATACAGCGTAGGTTATGCTGAGTTACAGAGGTGGTATTTTACTAGCAGCCCGGGCACGGGAGTTGAGCAACACTTTCTCCAGTTTATCCCCAAATCAGGACTTAGGGATACGAAATTGTCATAAATAACACAGCGGGTTAATGGTAGAGCCAGAACCGGAAGTTGGCTGTCTACTTCTGTGCTCTGAGGCTGGCATACAGTCCATTTCTTATGTGTGTTCAATCAACATGGGCTTCTGTTTTTTAACCATTCCCATTCCTCTCCCAGGAGCTGAGGACTGAACCCATGGCTTCCTGGGTTGGCCCTCAGGGCTGGCCTCAAGCTGTGGGGTTTCACTTCTCTTCTGTGTGATCAGAGAGGTCATAGTTTCCTTAAAGCCTCTGTTGGGATTTCCCGAAGATCCCTTCTGAACACTCTGAGCAGAAGTCAGGCTGGCCTAATGTCTGTTCTGGGGCCCCTTCTTTCCTGACTCTCCCCGTCTCATCCATCCCACGATGGGACAGGAGGCTTAACGTGCTCACCTTGAGACCTGGTTTTAGAGGAATAGGGAGGCGAACAAGCAATCTGCCCACCGTTGGCCAAGACTGAGAAGATGGAGGGCTGTAGGGCAGTCAGGATGAGGAGAACCTGCGGAACATAAAAGAGAGGCAAGGGTGGACTGGGCCTGCCCTCACGGCACAGAACGCAGCCAGCCCACTGCCGGGCCTTGCCCTTCCGCTGGGCAGGTTCCACCCACCGTCAGATCTGTGCAGTCACAGAGGGTTGAGGCTCTCACTTCATTAAAAATCTGTGGGATTTTCATCTTTAGGCAAATGACATTCTTATTTTCTACCCAGTAGTTTATTAGAGTTTCTGACAAGATATAAGAACTGATTAAAGGGTTCATTTTTAATTCCCTTTCTCAGCCATGGCTACCAATGAGCACTCAATGGATAAAGAGATGGGTGATTAGAGAAGAGTCATTCCATCTAGCTCAAGTGCCTGAGGTCCCTGCTCCTAGAATAATGGACAATTAACCATTAAAATGCCCTTTGGAAGCTCTGCCATCCCAGAGACTGCAGGGAGAGGGCAATGGGGAATGTGTTTAATGGGTGCCTGGAGATGGACGGTGGTAATGGTAGTGCAACTATGGGAATGTACTTAATGCCACAGAACCTGACACTTCAAAATCATTAATGGCAAATTTTATCAATATTTCACCAAATAAAGAAGGCAAAAGGGGAGAAGAAGAAGATCACTGTCCAGAAGCCCTGGAAGCACCATTTATCTTAGTATTGCCCTCCCTGAGTACATTGTGTGGAAACCTCAGCTTCTTCAAGGCTGGCGTGGCTCACCCAGGCTCCCCCACATTAACCATGGGCAGGCTCGGCCATCACACGGCTTTTATCTTTCGGCCTGGTCTCAAGTACTTCTGGGACCCAGAACCTTTCTGCCCCTTCAGTCCCTGACTCATTCCGGGGACTTCTCTCTCTATTCCCATAGCCCCTTTCATTCTACCTCCTATGTGCCTGGAAGTTCACATTTGGGAGGCATGTACGTAGATCAAATGAGAATGTACGTGAACTCACTCTGTTAAACTGTAGGGCAGTCATTATGCCTTGGGAGTAGAAGACCAGCAAGGAGACAGGATGGAGAGAGAAGGAGAACAAGACTGGGTTAGAAGTCATTGCATTTGGTGGAAAAGTCATCTTTGAGGTTAGAGAAGGCAGCACGTAGAAGGTGGGCCAACATGCCTTTGAGAGAATTTTCAGAAGCGTTGTGAAGATGAAGGGCAGGGTAAGGAGAAGACAGATGTGTGGAGGAGTCAAGACATACCTGGGTATAAATTCTAGCCCCGTTCCTTATGTGCCTTTGAGCAAGAACATCTCTGGGTCTGTTTCTTCCTTTGTAAAATGGGAAAAATGACTCCTGGGGTTGTGAAAATTGAAGTGTAATGTGTGAAAGTGCCCGGCACATGGTGTAGGTAGGTCCTGTAGCTAATGCTAATGCTTCTGCTGGTGTTGATGGGTTATAGGATTTTAGGAAGTCATAGGTAGAAAAGGAAAGGAAGAAGCAAGGAGACAAATGTAAGGTTTGTTAACTAACACACGTGTTACAGGTTAAATTGTGTCCCCAAAAAGCTATGTTGAAGTCCTGCCCCCCGGTACTCGTGACCTTATTTAAGAACAGTTTGTTACAAATGTAATTAGTTAAGATGAGGTCATAATGGAATAGGGTGGGCCCTTAATCCAATTTGACTGGTGTCCTAAAAATAGATGAGATGGAGGGGCACAGTGGCTCACGCCTATAATCCCAATACTTTGGGAGGCTGAGGCGGGTGGATCACCTGAGGTCAGGAGTTTGAGACCAGCCTGGCCAACATAGCGAAACCCCGTCTCTACTAAAAATGCAAAATTAGCCGGGCGTGGTGGTACATGCCTGTAATCCCAGCTACTTGGGAGGCTGAGGCAAGAGAATTGCTTAACCTGAGATGGCACCACTGCACTCCAGCCTGGGCAACAGACCAAGACTCTGTCTCAAAAAAAAAAAAAAAAATAGAAGACACACAGAAACACAAGGGGAGAATATAACGAGATAATGGAGGCAGAAATGGGAGTGACGCAAATGCTGGTCAAGGATGGTCCAGGACTGCTGGCAACTAGGAAACTAGGGAGAGGCTGGGACCCCCTGCAGGGCTCAAAGGGAGCAGGGCCCTGCTGGCTCCTTCGCTGTGGACTTCTAGCCTCCAGCACAATGAGACAAGACATGTCTGTTGTTTTAAGCCATCTGATTTGTGGTATTTTGTCATGGCAGCCCTGGGAAACAATTCCAGCACAGAAAGACAAAAGCGGGAAGCACAGGAATCATTTTCCAAATCTCATGAGAGACGTGAGGCTTATGAAAAAGATTCCCGGCCCACTTTAGCCTTTATTGGCCTCACTTACTAACCCCAACTATCTGTAGCTCGGTTATGAAACATCTTTTCTCTCCCAGGGTATAGTTACCTGGAACAGAGCAAATTTGGCTCCCATGTTCTGCTCACCCAGGTGTAGCCTGGCTTGACGGGAAATGATGCCCAGGGTCCAGAGAGCCAGCAGTGTGGACACGCCAAGGAAAGTGTTGATCCATAGAGCTGTGCTCCCCTCAGAAATCTGGTGGCAACAGAAAGTAGTCAGTGAGGCAGGCAAGCTCTCTCTCTCTCTCTCTCTCTTTCAAGAGATGGTGTCACTCTGTCACCCAGCTGAAAGTGCAGAGGTGCAATGATAGCTCACTGCAGCATCACACTCCTGGCTCCAGTGATCCCCTCGCCTCAGGCTTCTGAGTAGCTGGGACTACAGGTGCACACCACCATTCCCAGCTAACTTTTTTTTTTTTTTAATAATAGAGATGGGCCAGGCGTGGTGGCTCACGCCTATAATCCCAGCACTTTGGGAGGCAGAGGCGGGCGGATCACCTGAGGTCAGGTGTTCAAGACCAGCCTGACCAACATGGAGAAACCCCATCTCTATGAAAAATACAAAATTAGCCGGGGGTGGTGGTGCATGCCTGTAATCCCAGCTACTCAGGAGGCTGAGGTAGGAGAATCACTTAAACCCGGGAGGCGGAGGTTGCAGTGAGCCGAGATGCGCTACTGCACTCCAGCCTGGGCGACAAAAGAGAAACTCCGTCTCAAAAAAAAAAAAAAAAAGAGATGGTATCTCACTATGTTGCCCAAGCTGGTCGCAAACTCCTGGCTTCAAGTGATCCTCCCACCTCAGCCTCCCAAAGTGCTGGGATTACAGGTGTGAGCCACCATGTCCAGCCTAATTTTAAAAACATTTTTAGAAATGGCATCTCGCTATATTGTCCAGGCTGGTCTTGAACTCCCACTCTTGAGCAATCCTCCCACCTCGGCCTCGTGAGCCATGCATCATGGCACCTGGTGCTTCCTTTGAGCTCTCCTCTCCCACGGCAGGAACGGTAATGAAAAAGCCCGGGGGCCTGGCCTATTGCGGTTCTCTCCCTGGCAGTCCCTGAGCCTCTGTTTTCCCACAGCCACCCTTTTCTGGGGCCCTCTGTCAAGGGGTGTTGGCTCTGGTGATTCCTTTTAGAACACAAAGGTACTAAATGAGTCTTGGACTGTGCTGTCCCTTACTCCCGGCTTACGTCTGCTGGGTCATAGATGCCGTCGGGGACGAGAAACAGGCCCACCAGGGTCAGCGTTATCTTCAAGAAGGCGTATTGGAAAGGGCCCAACATCAGCAGCTGAAGCTTCTTCCTGAGTGGGGAAGAGGGTTAGGAACATGGGCCCACAAACCCCCTGCCCCAGGAAGACGCCCCGGCTCCTCACAGGGCTCCTGGGCTGAGGCTCGGCTGCTGTCATAAACACCAACCAGGTTAAGTGGATGGGGACAGAGGAAAAAAGCAGAATGTTGAGAGTGCTGGGAACCCTCTTGGTCTCCCACTCACCTCCAGACAAGAATTCCGTCTTTGGAGCGAGGTCTGGGAGTGTGACCTCAACCTCATTCACCAAAGTGGGCAGAAGGGGCAAGCGAATGGCCCCAAGTCCAGTTTTCTCTGTGTGGCTAAGGCTTGCAGGGTGCAGTGAAGTTCAGTGATGACAATTGAGGAGCTCTCCTTCCTCTGCTCCCCTGTCCCCTGAGGGTGGCGCCCGTGGGTCCTGGCCGTGGGATGCCCACCCTTCCGTCACTGGCTTTGGCCTATTCACGCCTAATTCCCAGAGCCTTGAAGGGGACCAGGGGTCCAGGAGAGGCTCCCCGGCTCCTGGGGAAGGCACCTTGGCCCCGCCTCACCTGGTGAGCAGCAGCCGTGGACAGCAGGGGCAGCAGCAGCAGCAGGGGCCTGTGTGGACCATCATCGGGGTGTCCCTCAGCGTCCTCAGCACTGCCTCCTTCCCCCCAAAGCCTTCCACCATGACCAGCATCAGCAGGTAAAAGCACACGGCATAAAACCTGGGGTGGGGAGAGAAGAGGGCCTACGAGGTCTGCTGCCAGAGAGAAAGACAGCAGGGAGAGGTGGGGCTTACTGAGGAGCAGAGCTAGGGCTGGGCGTTCTGGGTGTGTGACCCAAGAGGGGCGAGGGAGAGGAGACGGCCCACAGGACTGGGAGAAGGGGAATTTCAGACTGTGGGAACAGAGGGCTGGCTGAGGAATGTGCCAGATGCCAAAATGAGGCATTCCCTGAGCAGAGCCAGGAGCGCAAGAGCCCGGAACTAGCACAAGCTGGGAAGGGCCAGATACATGGTCAGCTGGGATCAAGGACACGGACTCGAGTCCTGGTGAGCGGGAGCAGAGGGGCCCTTGGAGGTGGGGCGAGGCAGGGCACTCACGAGGTGATGGTCATTTCCACCAGCACCAGGGAACGAGGGATCCAGAGACCAAAGCAGCACAGCACAGACACCACCTGCTCAGAAGGGGCAGGAGCAGGTGAGGGCGGGAGGGAGACCCTGAGGCTCCGGAAGCCTTTTGCGGCAAGGACACAGGAGGCAAAACCTACACATTCGAGGCAGCGTTCCTTAAACGTTGCCAGCTGGAAAAAGCACTAATTAAGTCAAGCAAACCAAGGACCTGTGGGAGGGTGTTTCAAAAGCCTCAGCGTAAGGGTGGAGCTGAGTGTGACCCTGTGGAATGAGACTTTCCCCCACACTCTGAGGAACCACTGAAGGAAGCTCTTCAAGTGGCAACACTGTAGCGGGGAGCAAGGATGAGGCGGCTGGTGGGCTGAGCAGATCTCCAGCTGTCTCCGCAGCCCTTAGAATGCAAACACTGCACAGCCTTCCAAGCAGAGGATCCTAACTGCAAGGGGAGGTCGGCCTGCAAACCTCGGCCCTCCGCGGGTCGTGGCAGGACACTCTTTGCCGAAGTGACGTGCTGAGTTTAGAGGAATTCTCACCTTGGTCTCTGCCTTCTTTTCAGTTCCCCCCACAGGGCAGCCCCGGGGGCCTCACCGTGGGTGCCGAGCTCTTCCAGAGCAGAGTCCGCCTCTTGATGGGGCAAAGGGTGTTCTTGTACAGGTAGACGGCATCCTCCAGGAAGATGGCAATGGAGCCCAGCGCCAGCAAGGTCAGGATGCTAGTGAGGGCAAGTTCCACAGGGCCCAGGGCTAGAGGAGGAGAAGGCAGAGAGCTGACGACCGGGACTGAGCGGGAGAAGGCCTGGGCTTGTTCCTCGGATCGAAATTGCCTTACTGGATCTAGGCTCCCACCCGTGCACAGGAATGAGGATTTTTTAGACCTAGAGTATTCAACCTAAGAAATAGTCTTTTTTTTTTCTTTTTCTTTTTTTTTTTTTTTTAAGACGGAGCCTCACTCTGTTGCCCAGGCTGGAGTGCAGTGGTGTGAACTTGGGTCACTGCAACCTCCATCTCCTGGGTTTAAGTGATTCTCCTGCCTCAGCCTCCCAAGTAGCTGGGATTACAGACACCCACCACTATGCCCGGCTAATTTTTATATTTTTAGTAGAGATAGTTTTCTCCATGTTGGCCAGGATGGTCTCGAACTCCTCACCTCAAGTGATCCACTCGCCTTGGCCCTGCAAAGTGCTGGGATTATAGGCCTCAGCCCCCGTGCCCAACCCCACTTCACTTTTCTATCTCCAGTGCCAGGTGCTGCACTAGCGAATGTAGATCAATTAACATAATTGAAGCCGAATATAATTTATGGGACATTCTGGATCTGTTTAAGTTGATTTCACCAAAATTATATGGTGAAACCAGGACATTAGCAGAGAACTTTTTTGTGGGGAGGAGGACAGGTTCTCACTCTGTCGCCCAGGCTGGAGGGCAGTGGTGTGATCATGGCTCACTGCAACCTTGACCTTCCGGGTTCAAACCATCCTCCAACCTCAGCCTCCCAAGTAGCCTGGGACTACAGGTGTGCACCCCCACCACGGCCGGCTAATTTTTAACATTTTCTGTAGAGACGGGGTCTCACTACGTTGCCCAGACTGGTCTCAAACTCCTAGGCTTAAGCAGTCCTTCCACCCTGGTCTCCCAAAGTGCTGGGATTACAGACGTGAGCCACCACACTCGGCCAGGGGAGAACTTCAACAAAAGAGAAACGGATCAAATAAAAACCCCAAGGACACCTGACGCACGCTGGCCTCATGCTTGGTCTTACATGAACTATAGTCCAAGGTTTTCAAACTTTCGTGGATATTGCAGTCATTTTGGGAGTTGTTAAAAAGCAGCTAGCTGCCCAGGCCCTACGTTCAGACATGTGCGTCCATAGATCTGAGATGGGCCCAGTCATCTGCATTTTTAACAAGCTCACCTGATAGTGGTCGGAGGATAGCAGACACTTTGACAAATACTGGTAGACCTCATCTGGCCTCACCGTTGCTAACAGAAAAAAATGAATATAGTCACAATATGTGTTTCCGAACAAACGTGATTCATTAATGCAGCCGTTAGTTTTAAAGAAAGGGTTCTAGGTCCTTAGTGAACCTGTGGTCATTTATCTAAGTGTCTTTTCTAGTTATTGGACCCTCCTTTGCACCTGCTACCTGACTAGATAAGAGGAAGAAAGGGAGAAAACTGCCACACTCCAGTCATTGTCCTGTTGCCTTGCGGGGTGAGCACGAGGAAGGGATTAGCTAGTCTGCTCTGTGTTTTGGTGACTAAGGAACATGAGGGCAGCTCAGTGGGAGCAATATGACTGCTGAAACCAAAACAGGGAGAAAGGTGGCCACGGTACAGACTTGAGCTGGAGCTCTTGTCTCGGTCAGTCGCACCTGGTGGCACCACAGGACCAACCAGGACTATGGGTGAATTTGTCAAAAAATACGCTGACCCTCGGCTGGGCACGGTGGCTCACACTGGTAGTCCCAGCACTTTGGGAAGCTGAGGTGGGCGGATCACTTGAGGCCAGGAGTCCAAGACCAGCCTGGCCAACATAGTGAAACCCCACCTCTACTAAAAATACAGAAATTAGCCGGGTGTGGTGGCGCCTGCCTGTGGTCCCAGCTACTCCGGGAGAGGTGAAGGCTGTAGTGAGCCAGGATCACACCGCTGCACTCCAGCCTGGGTGAAAAAAAAAAAAAAAGGAAAATACCTATAATACTGAAAAAAGTTAGCAATGCTTATGTTTGGGTGATGGGACTATGGATGATTTGTGTCTTCTTTTCTACTTACTTTTTTCTATCTTTTCTGAGTAGTCACTTTTTTAAAAATTAAACAACTTAAATTTATTTTCTCATAGTTTTGGAGGCTAGTTCAAGATCAAGGTGTCAGCAGGTTTGATTTCTCCTGAGGCCTCTCTCCTCCACTTGCAGACAACTCTCCTCTCCTCCCCTCCCCTCCCCTCCCCTCTCCCATTCCCTCCCCTCTCCCCTCTCCTCCCCTCTCCTCCCCTCCCATCTCCTCCCCCCCCCGCCCCGCCCCCTTCTCTTCTTTCAACGAAGTTTCACTCTTGTCGCACAGGCTGGAGTGCACTGGTCTGATCTTAGCTTACTGCAGCCTCCACCTCCCAGGTTTAAGTGATTCTCCTGCCTCAGCCTCCCAAGTAGCTGGGATTACAGGCACCTGCCACCACGCCCAGCTAGTAGAGACGGTTTTCGCCATGTTGGCCAGGCTGGTCTTGAACTGACCTCAACTGACCCGCCCACCTCGGCCTCCCAAAGTGCTGGGATTACAGGCGTGAGCCACCGGGTCCAGCCGACAACCGCGTTTCTACTGTGTCCCCACATGGCCTTTTCTCGGTGTGTGAAAATCCCTAGTGTCTTTCTTTTCCAATTATTCTATAATGAATATGTATTTATAACAAAAATAAACCTTTTTTTAGAAAAGAACATATTTTTCCAAATATACAATGATGTGAAAAATTTATTTTGTATCATGCTTACAAAAACAGAACATAAAATTTTAGGAATAGTATGATTTCTACAAATGTTAAATAAAAACATAGAGAAAGGGCTAGGCACAGTGGCTCATGCCTGTAATCCCAGCACTTTGGGAGGCCGAGGCGGGTGGATCACTTGAGGTCAGGAATTTGAGACCAGCCTGGCCAACATGGTGGAACCCCATCTCTACCAAAAATACAAAAATTAGCCAGGCATGGTGGCGAGTACCTGTAATCCCACCTACTGGAGAGGCTGAGGCAGGAGAATTGCTTGAACTGGGAGGTGGAGGTTGCATTGAGCTGAGATCACACCACTGCACTCCAGCCTGGGCCACAGAGCCAGACTCTGTCTGAAAAAAAAAAAAAAAAAAAAGGCATTAAAAAAAAGGAAATTACACTAAGATATTTGCCGTGCCTGTCTCTGGGTGGGACTGTAGATGATTTTTTTCTCTTTTTACTGTTCTGTATTTTCTTTCTTTCTTTTTTTTTTTTTAACTAAACCTGAATGATTTTTATAATAGAAATGTTTAATTAAAAAAACTCAGACAATAGGCAAAGTCCAGATAGGAAAAAGCCAACATTAATGCAGGTGGTTTTCCAAAACCAATGTTCTGTGGTTGGGAAGCGGGGGCCATTGCTAGAGCCTCTCTTACCCCCAGCCCCGTGTGCTCATCAGCCCTTGGAGAGCGTAAAAACTGCCCTTTCACACGCCACCAACCCAGTCCTTCCCAGTCTTCATTTCCCTAACTGCTCCCTGCTCCGTGAAAATCTCCATTCCGGGTAACGTTATGTCCTCCTTCCGCCCACATCAGGGCTATTTGTATTTACACAGCTGTTTACTCGCTTATTCTCGGCTCTCCACCTTGTGGTGCACACTCCACGGAGGCAGGGACCTTGTCAAGCTTGTGCTCTGTTCTCAAACGCCCGGAGGAGTAACGGCTCTGTAACTATTTGTTGAATGAAAGAAATAACCTATGAGAATTCCTATCATCATCTGCATTTCATAGACTTTTTCAGGAAACGAGGCTCAGAGAAGGAAGCACATCTCCCAGGGTCACACAGCCTGGAAGTGAAGGAGCAGAGATTTAAACGCAGGTATTCGTGACTAAGCCCACACTCTTATTAACCATGACACACAGTGACTCCAGGTGTGTGTACTCGTGGATATGGGAGAGATCATCAAAGGCAACCCTGGGAGGGCCGTTCCATTTATGAAGGTGAGGGTGGGGCAGATTCTGACTGTTCAACACAAATGGTTTTGCAGTGTCTTCTAACTGTTGCCTTTGGTACTCTAATTAGGAAAGGAAAAGTTCCTTAGCATCCATAGCCCGATACTGGGTCTGTCCATCAAACTATCTTCTTAGGAGATGGCCTCTTCTTTGCTGGTTAAACTCAATTTCCCCAAAAGGGCATCTAAATAGACACTATGGGACAAAAGTATTCCACAGCTGAAGAATTTTTGGAAATGCATTAAGGTTAAATGTGATGATTCCTGCAGAGCATACTGACATTTTTAATCTGCTAATTTACATTGTAAATTTCCAAAAGGAGGGTCTAGAACGCACCTTTTACAAAACTTAACTTTTTTTTTTTTTTTGAGATGGAGCCTTACTCTGTCGCCAGGCTGGGGTGCAGTGGCGCGATCTCGGCTTACTGCAAGCTCCGCCTCGTGGATCCAAGCAATTCTTCTGCCTCCGCCTCCCAGGTAGCTGGGATTACAGGTACCCACCACCATGCCCAGCTAATTTTTGTATTTTAAGTAGAGATAGGGTTTCACCATGTTGGGCAGGCTGGTCTCAAACTCCTGACCTCAAGTGATCCACCCGCCTCGGCCTCCCAAAGTGCTGGGATTACAGGTGTGAGCCACCGTGCCTGGTCACAAAACTTAACTTCCTACAGAACTCTGTTTCCATGAAGGACTCCTTGGGATTAAGAGTCTGAGACTTTGGGAAATGCTTGTCTAGTTGACCATTTTGAATATAATCATACTTATAGCAACTATTAAATTTCCCACTGTCTCTGGAATAGCAAAGACTACTTTTTAAAATAATGAAAACAGGAACATTAAATAAGAATTTGAAAAAAGAGTAATCACCCATAATCCCAGCTTTCTAACCAAAAATTATTTCCATGCTTGCATATTTGCTTCCAGTAGCTTAGGAGCACAGTGTAGAGCACTGGAGTCAGACACTTGAGTTCAAAGCAAAATGCCAGGCCGGGCGGGGGGGCTCACGCCTGTCATCCCAGCACATTGGGAGGCCGAGGCGGGCGGATCACGAGGTCAGGAGATCGAGACCATCCTGACTAACACGGTGAAACCCCGTCTCTACTAAAAAATATACAAAAAATTAGCCGGGTGTGGTGGCGGGCGCCTGTAGTCCCAGCTACTCGGGAGGCTGAGGCAGGAGAATGGCGTGAACCTGGGAGGCGGAGCTTGTAGTGAGCTGAGATCACACCACTGCACTCCAGCCTGGGGGACAGAGCGAGACTCTGTCTCTTAAAAAAAAAAAACAAAAAACCAAACCAAACAAACAAACAAACAAAAACAAAGTAAAATGCCACTTACTAATAGCTCTATGGCCATAGACAGGTTACTTATCCTCTCCTTAAGCTTCTTAGCAAAGCACCTGGCGTGTAGTATTTGTTCAATAAAAAGTAGCTTTAAGGCCGGGCGCAGTGATTCACGCCTGTAATCCCAGCCCTTCAGGAGGCCGAGGCAGGAGGATCGCTTGAGCTGGAGCGTTTGAGATCAGCCTGGGCAACGAAGTCAGACTCTGTCTCTACAAAAATTGAAAGTTAGCCCAGGCATGGTGGTGTGTGCCTGCAGTCCCAGCTACTCGAGAGGATGAGGTGGGAGGATCACTTGAGCCCAGAGCTCGAGCTGCCGTGAGCCGTGATTTTAAAATTAAAAAAAAAAAATTGATTCAATCATTCTTCTAGAATAATAGCTTTTTTTTCTCTCTCTCTTTTTTTTAAATTGAGACAGGGTTTCGGTCTGTTGCCCAGGCTGAGGCTGGTGGTGCAATCATAGCTCACTGCAACCTCGACCTCCTGGGGTTGCAGCATGGGCCACCGTGACTGGCCTGAAATAGTTTTCTTAGCATTTAATTTTAAGTTCGAGACCAGCCTGGGCAACATGGAGAAACTCCACCTCTACAAAAAAATACAAAAATTAGCTGGGCTTGGTGGCATGTGCCTGTGGTCCCCAGCTACTAGGGAGGCTGAGGTGGGAGGATCACCTGAGCCCAGCAGGTGGAGGGTTGGGGTAAGCCGAGATCGCACCACTGCACTCCAGCCTGAGTGACACAGTGAGACCCTGTCTCAAAAAAAAAAAAAAAAAGAAAAATTAAGGAACAACAAAGTTTACAAATGAAGCGAGGAAGGAGTTTCGCCACAGCCTCCCAGAGGCACTTCTTCCTGCTTCTCCTATTTCTGGCTGTGCCGTCACCATTGCCCAGAACCAGCACTTACACGCCTAGGTCTTTCCTAGATTGCCTGCTCTTTCTTTGAACTGCCTGTTTCCCAACCCTTCCTCTTCTTTCCCTGCCACTGCCCTGCCTCAGACTCTTTTCCCGCATGGCAGGCCGGGGCAACGACCTCTCATTTACATCCCTGCCTATTTTTTGCTGTTGTTGAGACGGAGTCTTGTTCTGTCACCCAGGCTGGAGTGCAATGGTGAGATCTCGGCTCACTGCAACCTCTGCCTCCCGGGTTCAAGCGATTCTCCTGCCTCAGCCTCCTGAGTAGCTGGGATTACAGGCACGCGCCACCACACCTGGCTAATTTTTGTATTTTCAGTAGAGACAGGATTTCACCACATTGGCCAGGCTGATCTTGAACTCTTGACCGCAGATGATCCGCCTGCCTCGGCCTCCCAAAGTGCTGGGATTACAGGCATGAGCCACGGTGTCCGGCCGCATCCCTGCTTCTTAAGCCTCTTCCTCTGCAGTCCATCCTGATTACTAACGAATGGCCGAGAAGCACGACTTTCATCCAGCCACTCCCAGCCTCAGAGCCTTCACGAGCTCCTTCTCGCTGCGGGATAAAGCACAGCTCCTCCGCCAGCCCGGCGCGCAGCGGGCCTCACCTCTCCTGCCCGGCCCTCTCAATTGTCCCCTGCTCTTCCACCAGGATCCTTGAATCCTGCCAGACCTCGCTCCCCTGGGCCTGGGGCGTCCCCGAACTCATCCTCGCAGCTTCCCTGTCCCAGGAGGGCCCGCTGGCCAAATCCTCCCCACTCTGCCTGCGGCGAGGCTTGCTGGACTAGCAGACTCAGAATGGCCTGTTCTGAACAGCCTTGGGGTTTCCGTTTGCACATTCTGAAGCAAAGCAATGTGAGAACCGTTTTCATTGCGTGAGGCAAGGTTTCTCAACCTGAGCACTATTGACACTTTGGCCTGAATAATCTTTTCTGTGGGGGCTCTTCCCGTGCCCTGTAGGAAGTTTAGCAGCTTTCCTGGCCTCTGACCACGAGATGCCAGTAGCACCTTCCAGTGTGGCAACCGGAAGTCTCCCGACACTGCCAAATATTCCCTGGGGGGACAGCTGCTGTGTAAGGGAAGGCTTGTACCACCAGCTGCACTCTCTCAACAGGAGGTTCACTGGAACTAGATGTAGCAGCCACCTACTGCCACTAACCACAGAGTGGCCACCAGGCATCTCCGGACACTGGCAGTTGGCAACCGCTCTGGTTCAGATCATCTGAAATGAAGCCCTACACAGCCCAAGGACACGCCCACGTCTGCAACAGAACGCACACTGAGAGCTTCCTGTTGCCTGGGAAACGTGTTAAATGTGCTACAGAGACACAGACTTGTATCCAACATTTCAGAGGTAGTCAGTATGCAGCAGGAAAACAAAATAAAACGCAGGCGTGAGTCACATTTTCTCTAAGCATGCTCGGGCCGTGATTCTCAATGTTTTTGGTGTCCGGGGAATAAGCTGAGCCCCATCCTATGCCTTTCACTTTCTTTTTCTTTTCCTTTTTTTTCTTTTATTTTTGAGACGGAGTCTCACTCACTCTGTTGCCCAGGCTGCAGTGCAGTGGCGTGATCTCGGCTCACTGCAACCTCCGCCTCCCGAGTTCAAGCAACTCTCCTGCCTCAGCCTCCCGAGTAGCTGGGATTACAGGTGCCCGCCACCACGCCTGGCTAATTTTTGTATTTTCAGTAGAGACGGGGTTTCACCATGTTGGCCAGGCTGGTCTCCAACTTCTGGCTTCAAGTGATCCACCTGCCTCGGCCTCCCAAAGTGCAGGGATTACAGGCGTGAGCCACCGCTCCCAGCCAATGCCTTTCACTTTCAAAAGTAATTCAGTAATAGAATCTTGTTGGCCAACACTGCGAGGACTTTTGCAGGTTCACCTATGTTTTTTTTTTTTTAATTACTGTTTTATTTGGAAAAAGTGCTTCTTGCAAAAGGGAAGCTGCAAAACAGAGACCTCTGCAACAATTACTTGTTTTTTCTTAAAGTGAAAGAATGGGTGGGATCCAAGGAATCAAAGCAGTAGATGGACGACCAGGAGCACCCCAAGTTATCTTCAGGAAACAGAGCGACAAAACGCAAAGGTAAAATTTCCAGTCAAGGAATTCTTCCAACAGCTGAACTTGAGCTGGCCTCGGGGATCCCCACACCCTCCCCTTCAGTGGACAATTATGACTTATTATTGCAAACAAATTACTCCACTACAATAAACACTGTAGAACAGGTTTTTGAATCCCATCTGTCCACCTGAGAGCTCAGGGGTGGAATGAGGCAAATACCCACAAACACACACACAAAAACCCGACAACAGAATGCTCCAGTGAGGACAAAGGTTTTTCAGAAAGGCTGGATCGTAAAACAAATACAACTGGTTCACCTGTGTGAAGCACGTCACTCACCGTAACCACCCTCTAGAGTGACATGGGTCCAGGGCGGATGCCGTGCAGCCCTCCAGGAGACCCGATGGGGCTTGGACCACTTGGGCACCATCTTGGGTCCCCAGATGGCTCTGGGGTCTGAAAAAGCGCCCCAGGTCGCAGTGTCCGCAGTTTGAATGAGCTTTGAGGCCAGTTTTGTGGAGGCCCAACATGACGGTTGCTCTCCGGAGCCAGGCTCTCATGCTACCCTTTTGACCCACTGACTCCTTGAGGCATTGCCCTTCTCCAGAGCCTTAACCACGATGACAGACACCGGGCCAGTTATTCTCCCCGGCTGCCCAGGTGCACCAGCTCAGGGCCGCCTCTCCCCAGCTCCACTCAGCTATCCTGGTTTCCCTCCTCTCAGTTCCCTCTGAGGAGGGTCCCCACTCACCTCTCAGGAGTTGGGCTGCTGTGGGAGGCTGAGAGAAGCAGGCGGAGGGGATGCCGTAATTGGTCTTCAGCACCTCCAGAAGATCTGCTGTGTACCTGGCGAGACACCAGCCTGTGCTCAGAACCATGGGGGCTGGGGGAAGGGGGAGGGTTGCACACTGGACCCTCAACCACTCCTGAGTGCAGGACTTTGTCCATTTCCCCTCAGGGCCTCTTTCTCTCTCTTTCTTTCTTTCCTTCCTTCCTTCCTTTCACTCTCTCTTTCTCTTTCTCTCTCCCTTCCCCTTCCCCTTCTCCTTCCTTCCTTCCTTCTGCTCTCTCTTTCTCTTTCTCTCTTCCTTCCCCTTCTCTTTCCTTCCTTCCTTCCTTCCTTTTTCTTTCTTTTTTTTTCTTTTTGAGACAGGGTCTTGCTCTGTTGTCCAGGCTGGAGTGCAGTGGTCTGTCTTGGCTCATACAGGCAGCCTTGACCTCCTGGGCTCAAGTGATCTACTCAACCCCCATCCCCATGAGTAAGCTGGGACTACAGGTGCACGCCACCAGGCCCGGCTAATTTTTTATATTTTTGGTAGAGACAGGATTTCGCCATGTTGCTCAGACACTGGTCTCGAACTCCAGGACTCAAACTGGAACTGGGCTTAAACTCCTGGACTCCCGCCTCAGCCTCCCAAAGTGCTGGGATTACAGGCGCCCGGCCTCAGGGCCCTTTTCTTAGAGGGAGTGGAGAACTGGCCCAGGTGGGGGAGTAAGACAAGCTGCCACCTAGCCAGGCTGTGCCTGGCTGCCGTGCCTGAAGAGCCCACCGTGGATTCTCTCCATGCGGGTCGGGCAGCAGCCCAGGGACTGACCAGAGAGGAAGAGCAGGATCCCAGAGGAAGGGTGAGTCCTTACAGACGGACGGGCCCCCTGCTGCTGAGGGATGCTGCCATTTCCTCTGCGAATGCCTTCCACAGCCCCCGCTCTGCGACCTTTCTCTCCCCACGCTGGGGGGCAAGGCCGAGGCCCTGGAGTGTCACACCCTGGCCCAAACCCACGTTGTCCCTGAGGACCTAGGAACAGCTAGAGCATTTCCAGTCCTGTCTCATTCTGAGTGCGGCCGCCAAAGGGCTCTGGGAGGGAGAGAGGACAGGCCGCGGGATAGGGGCCACCGCTGCCCAGCGACTGGCCCAGGGCCCGCCGCCCTCACTTACCTGGGGTCAAGCTTTATCTGGGTCCTGCCCGGCTCCATCGCCGCGTTCTCTCCAGCAATCCCGCAGGCACCGGGGTGAGGAAGGGCAGGCGGGGCGGGCAGGTGGGGGCCGGGGGCAGGGTGGCTTGCCTGGGCCGGGGTGGGGGGCAAGCAGAATTGCAGAGTCTTCCCCTCTGCCGCTCTCCCTCCTTGAGCTTCCCGGGCCAACTTTCTATCTCAGAGTTCACCCCGGAGGAATTTGATCCTCTAGGCTGGCGGAGTTCCCTGTGCCTGACTCGTCCCTGCCCCCAGGTGTGGTCCCTCCCACCTCTTGGACAGGTGCCTTTGGCCACCCCTTGCCTCTGGCCCGGCCCATCCTATAGGATTTTGCTGCCAGTCTGCCCTGCCCTTCCAGGAGCCTTCTGGGGTGGGGTGGGCTCACCACGAAGCCCCTGCCCTGGGCCGGGGTGGGGACGAAGTCCTCGCTCCTCACCGCAGTGTTCCCTGGTCAGCGGCCCCTGAAGAACCTGCTGGAACTCAGGCTTGGGCACTCTGCAGCGGGGAGACTCAGGGCTGAGGCCTCGGCCGTGTTTGGTGCTGTCAGCCTGATGTGTGGAAGGGAGGACAGGCTGGAAAAGCCAGATGAGGCCGGTGTGGGTTTCCCAGACCCCAGTTCATCACATCTGGATGATGGGCTTAGCCACCCCCACGCTGGGCCGGAAGATGCTGTATTTAAGAGGCAGAGTTGCAGAGTGAGATTGCTGGGCATTTGACAGGTCTTGAAAACCTGCTGAATTACAGGCTTGCAAACGATTTTATTGGCTGATAGCTTCCCTTTTCTCTCTCTCCACATAGACTGAAATCTCTTCGAAGCCAGACACAGCATCTTGTACTGTGGTACGGTGGTACCTCTAGGTTCCTGGCACGCAGCCTGACACATACGAAGGGCCCCTTAGAATTTGGTTGCATAGCTGATGAAAGCAGCCAGCGTCTGTCAGCATGTCTGGTGTGCCAGGGCCCGCAGGACATGCAGTGTGTTCCTTAGCTTATTTAAACTTTACCACCGCGTTACAAGGGAAGTAGTATCCTTATTCCCATTTTACAGATAAGGAGGCTGAGGTCCAGAGAGGCTAAGAAACCAGGTCAGACAGAAAGCTGTGGGGTGTGGAGAGCGGCCAAAGGGGCCTGGGGGAGGGGCTCTGTTGGGGCATGGTGGAGATGGAGGTAGTGAGAAGAGGGCCCAGGAGAGGGTGCAGAGGGTCAATTCTGGGAAGGGAGAGGGGGCTTCCTGCGCTGGGCTGGTGAGGCCATACAAGCAGTGGAAGCAGTCCCTGATGGGGTACCCGGAGGACTCCCCACTCCTGTGCCCAGACACCTCAAAGTCTCTCCCAAGAGTCAAGCTGCATCCCCCTCCAGCTTCCCCTCCTCCTAAAGTCCAGTTCCTGGGACAGGACAATGTCGTGAGGCAGGCGTCTCAGGGGCCAGCTGCCTCCTAAGGTGGAGGTCAGGGAAGGAAGAGGCCTGCAAGGGCCCTGACCCCCAGAGGGTCACTGGCCTCAGCCCACCCTGACAAAGACGCAGACTGACTCAGCTTCCTCCCAGCATCTCCGCAGGCACGTTCGCCAGGTCATTCACCCCCAGCCCACTGAGAGGCCTTGGGTTTAATTACCCAAAGCCCTGAACTTTAGACTTCCCAGAGCTGACAACAGGGCGCTGGGGATGTTCTTAGAAACTTCAGGACACAGTGGGGAATGGCAGGAAAGGTGAAAGGGCAGGAGGGAGCCGGGGGGGGCTGCGGTTGGGCTGAGACGGGTGCTTCCCCACTGGGCAGCAGAGACTGGGAGACCCCAGGAGAGACCGGCAGGGTGTCAGTGAGGGAAGGGGGCTTCTGCCCCACCCAAGGTCTCTACGGGGTTGTCTTCTGTACAGTGTGGCCCGGGATCCAGCCAGCGGGAGGCCCTGCCTGGAGGCCGGCCCATCCCCAGCTAAGGCTTGGTCAGAGAGGATGAGCTGTGGCCGCCAGGGTCTCCTCTTGGCAGTTGGGGCCTGCCAGCTCTCAGAAACTGATTTTAGAACCAAAAAGAATAAGTCCTTCTGAATTTCATTTCTTTGGCCTATTTTTTCCCACAAAATTATATGATAGCATCATCTGACACTTATTGAGACAGAGGAGGGATGGGACTCGGCTGCCAACTCCACTAATGCATTCGCTAATGCATTCCCCCCCCCAACATTTTTCTTTCTTCCTTTTTTTTTCTTACCTGCTCATTGAAGGACAGTGAAAGCATTAAGATAAGCAGCATTCCACTGTAAATCTTACACAAAATGCCACATCCACTGATCACACGACCTTGAAAAATGAAGATAGGCAGCGTCGCACTTCCAATCTTGTACTTCAGGGAATGAACTCCATTGCCTTTGTGTGCAGGAAGCCGGAAGCACGACCACTCTTTACCCTCGGCCTCATTACAAGACCAAGACCTCTGCCTCGGCGCGGCAGCTCTCACCTGGAATCCCAGCACTTTGGGAGGCCGAAGCGGACGGATCACCTGAGGTGTCAGGAGTTTGAGACCAGCCTGGCCAACAAGGTGAAACCCCGTCTCTACTAAAAATACAAAAATTAGCCAGGTGTGGTGGTGTAATCCCAGCTACTCGGGAGGCTGAGGCACGAGAATCGCTTGAACCTGGGAGGCGGAGGTTGCAGGGAGCCGAGATCTTGTCACTGCACTCCAGACTGGGTGACAGACAGAAACAAAACAAAAGCCTCTGCCAGGGAGAGGCTTTCTCGTCGTGTTCTGATCCTGCGATGTATGTGTTACCGCGATTCCTAACTATCCCTGTGCGTTCTGTCACTCCTGCAGGGACGCTCACCTACCTCATGAATTACGCGTGTCGCCCTCCTCGAGACGCCACAACGCAGTCCCCTGGGGAGCCAGCCGGAGACCTCTCCCTGCGGTGCTGTCTCCCCCGTGGTGGAACGGAAGCCCCTAATAAAGCCTTGTCTGGGAAATTTGCTTGGCCTCGTGTCAATTTTTATCGGAGCCTAAAGAACCTGTGGTCAGTAACACGATCATTTCAGTTATCACTTAAGTTTTGGCTTCCTTAATATGAGAGTCAGTTTTGAAAAATCAAAAAAGAGGCTGGGCGCCGTGGCTCACACCTGTAATCCCAGCACTTTGTGAGGCCGAGGCAGGTGGCTCACTTGAGGTCAGGAATTCGAGACCAGCCTGACCAACATGGTGAAACCCCATCTCTTAAAAATACAAAAATTAGGCCGAGTGCAGTGGCTCACTCCTGTAATGCCCGTACTTTGGGAGGCTGAGGTGGGTGGATCACCTGAGGTCAGGAGTTCGAGACCAGGCTGGCCAACATGGTGAAACTCCGTCTCTACTAAAACTACAAAAAAAAAATTAGCTGGGCATGGTGGCAGGTGCCTATAATCCTAGCTACTTGGGAGGCTGAGGCAAGAGAATTGCTTGAACCCGGGAGGCAGAGATTGCAGTGAGCTGAGATGGTGCCATTGCACTCCAGCCCGGGCGACAGAGTGAGACTCAGTCTCAAAACAACAACAACAAACCTCATCTCTTCCAGTCCCCCTCCTCCCACACCCTGGCAACTGTGAATCTGCTTTTGATCTCTATGGATTTGGCTACTCTGGATATTTCATGTAAGTGGAACCATACAATATGTGGCTTTTTGTGCCTAGTTTCTTCCATTTTGCATAATCTTTTCTTTTCTTTTATTCTGTGTTTTTGAGACATAGTTTCACTCTTGTTTCCCAGGCTGGAGTGCAATGGTGAGATCTCGGCTCACTGCAACCTCCGCCTCCCAGGTTCAAGCGATTCTCGTGCCTCAGGCTCCCGAGTAGCTGGGATTACAGGTGCGCACCACCACACCTGGCTAATTTTTGTATTTTTAGTAGAGATGTTGCAGGAAACTGAGGACTGGCAAGACTGAGACAGAGAACGAGAGGACTGTTTATTTCAGGTACGCACTGGCTTAGTGGACTGTCATCTAAAAAGCTGAGCATCGAACAAAGACAGAGCGGGGTTTTTATAAGCAGACTTCCAATAAATAAAAGTAGTTAATCATATGACAGGTCACATCATCTATAGCATAACTTGTGGCCTTGCATAGCTGGTGACTTTGTAGCTGCATTGAAAGAAAAACAAGAACTGGCTAAATACAGACATTTGTAAAACATAATCATGCTTAAGAAACCTGGGAAAGGAGTAACAGTCAAAGAATTTGTCTTTCTTTTTTTTCTTCAACTTTGCTCTGGAGGCGAGGGGTGTCTGGAGCTTATTCTTTTGGCCTTGGCCTCTTAAACAGCGTTATCTTATAACTGTCCTTGAAGTGAGCTTGCTGGGCAGAGGAAAACTTGTTCTTTTCTTTTTAACTTTTGCCTTGCTTGTTACTTGTCTTGGAGTGAATGAATGCATATTTATTTTTAAATTTCTGCCTCAGTTTCTTCTTTTTGAGGCCTTTTATAAAGGAAGTTTAATATGGCTCATGCTTGTAATCCCAGCACTTTAGGAGGCTGAGGTGGGTGGATCACCTGTGGTCAGGAGTTCGAGACCAGCCTGGCCAACATGACTAAACCCCGTCTCTACTACAAAATACAAAATGAGCCGGGCATGGTGATGCATGCCTGTAATCCCAGCTACTTGGGAGGCTGAGGCAGGAGAACCGCTTGAACCCAGGAGGCAGAGGTTGCAGTGAGCCGAGATTGCGCCATTACACTCCAGCCTGGGCAACAAGAGCGAAACTATCTCAAAAACAAACAAACAAACAAAACAAACCAACAAAAAAACCCAGCAACTTTCTTTCTTTTTTTTTTTTTTTTTTTGAGATGGAGTTTACTCTGCCACCCAGGTTGGAGTGCAATGGCGCGATCTTGGCTCGCTGCAACGTCCACCTTCCAGGTTCAAGTGATTCTCCTGCCTCAGCCTTCTGAGTAGCTGGGACTACAGGCGTGCACCACCACTCCTGGCTAGTTTTGTATGTTTAGTGGAGATGGGGTTTCACCATGTTGGCCAGGCTGGTCTCGAACTCCTGACCTCGAGTGATCTGCCTGCCTCGGTCTCCCACAGTGCTGGGATTACAGGGATTACAGCGCCGGCTGAAAATTACCAACTTTCTTCCCATGTGTTTCTCCAGGTCATATTTTCTCCAACAACATCAGCCTCTCAGGGGCAGGAACTCCCGGTTCCCCAGCACATGTCGGGGTGGGGGTGGGGTTTGCTGTTGGAAGTGCCTGTCACCGGAGGCAGCTAGAGCAGGGCTGCAGACAGTTCTGCTGAGGTCCCCCAGCCTCTGTGATGTCACACTGGGCCTTCTTTCCTTTCACCCTGGGCTGCGGCTCTGAGGCTGCCGTGGCCATGGAGCTCTGGAAGCTGGGCTGGGGGAGGAAGCCTGGTGGCTCTGACCTCCCCTGGAGGCGAAGGAGGCCCAGCCATGACACTCTTAACGGATGCCACGCCGCTGGTGAAGGAGCCCCATCCCCTGCCTCTGGTCCCACGTCCCTGGTTCCTCCCTAGCCTCTTTGCTGCCTTCAATGTGGTGCTGCTGGTCTTTTTCAGTGGCCTCTTCTTCGCATTCCCGTGAGTTTTCCAGGCAAGCCGTTAGGTTTCCCACAAAGAGACAGCCAGGGAAACAGAAGATGATAGGATGGAGGCAGGGGAGTGCAGAAGACCGGGGGAGAGGTCAGGGAAAAGGGGATATTCTGTTCGAGGGAACCGACGTGCAAAGGTGCAGAGGTCAAGGGTGCGGGCAGGGAAAAGGGGATATTCTGTTCCAGGAACCGACGTGCAAAGGCGCAGAGGTCAAGGGTGCCTGTGCATTTTGGGAGCTTTGGGTGGCTGGTCATGCTGGTGACATTTGGTGGAGCCATTATGAGTCTGCCTGGGTATTTGGAGCCTGGATTTTTAGATCTGGCTTGAAGGTCTGTGGGTCCTGACCTGAGCAAGCCACAGGCCTTGGGCCGGGGGCTTTGGGCTGCCCCTGCTCAGGACCGAGCCTGCCTCTGGTCTCAGTTGCAGGTGGCTGGCTCAGAACGGGGAGTGGGCCTTTCCTGTTATCACAGGCTCCCTCTTTGTCCTTACCTTCTTCAGTCTTGTTTCACTCAACTTCTCAGACCCTGGCATCTTACATCAAGGTGAGGCATCAGCCCCCTGGGAAAAGGAGGTGTCACTCAAGGGCTGGGAACCTGCAGGGGGGATTCCTAAAGTGCTCTTCCTACTGACCCTCCTCCAGCCTCTGGACCCCTTCACCCCACGTCTTCATTGCTCTGGCCCTCGCTCACTCTTTCTTCTCTTCTCTTTTCTTTCTTTCTTTCTCTTTCTTTCTTTCCTTCCTTCCTCTCTCTCTCCCTCTTTCTTTCCTTCCTTCCTCTCTCTTTCCTTCCTTCCTTCTTTCTTTCTTTCTCTTTTCTTTCTTTCTTTCTTTCCTTCTTTCCTTTCTTCCTCTCTCTTTCCTTCCTTCCTTCTTTCTTTCTTTCTTTCTCTTTTCTTTCTTTCTTTTTCTTTCTTTCTTTCCTTCTTTCCTTTCTTCTTTCTTTCTCTCTTTCCTTTTCTTTTTGTTGAGACAGAGTCTCGCTTTGCTGCCCAGGCGGGAGTGCAGTGGCGCAATCTCCGCTCACTGCAAGCTCCACCTCCCAGGTTCAAGCGATTCGTCTGCCTCAGCCTCCCAAGTAGCTGGGGCTACAGGAGCATGCTACCACGCCCAGCTAATTTTTTGTATTTTTAGTAGAGATGGGGTTTCACCATATTGGCCAGGCTGGTCTCGAACTCCTGACCTCATGATCAGCCCACCTCGGCCTCCCAAAGTGCTGGGATTACAGGCGTGAGCCCCCGCGCCCGGCCCTACCCCGTTTCTTAAGCCACCAAGGTGTGGAAAAACAGAATTGTTGAGGTTTCCCAGTTGCCTTAGATGGGAGGACCGGGCAGGCCAGGGCCAGAAGCCAGTGGGCTCTTCCAAACCACTGTATGCACTTCCTCCCTTCACTACACAATGACACTCAAAGCAGCACTCACTGTTCCAAACGCCTGAGTTTCATACAAAACTCTCCTGGCTGGAAACCCGTCTTCCCTTTGACTGCCATCCTCTCTGAGCTTGGACAGCTTGCTCAGTGGGGACAGGGGTTCCCCTGCCCACCTTGTCCCCACCCTTCCTTGTGCCCTGTGATGCCGTGGAGCTGCCCCCGCCGCGGGGTGACCGCAGGGCCTTCTGCTGTGCCCAATCCTCTTCCCACGCCAGGCTCCGCTGAGCAGGGCCCCTTGACGGTGCACGTGGTGTGGGTGAACCACGGGGCCTTCCGCCTGCAATGGTGTCCAAAGTGCTGCTTCCACCGCCCGCCCCGGACTTACCACTGCCCCTGGTGCAACATCTGTGTGGAGGTGAGTGCCCCTCTACCTGTCCACCAGCCATCGCCCCACATCTGGCTGGGACCAGGAGCCTCCCTCATACAGGGGCCAGGGCTGGGTGTGAAGCTGTTTTCAGGACTGCTAAAGGCCAAGGGTGGCAGTAACTCCCAGCCACCCTTGGTCACTCATGTGTTCTCCACCTGCACCTGTCCTGGGAGGCTGGCCGTTGCCTGCAGAGGTGCTGACATGCACAGGGCATCCGCATCTGTCCTGGGCTGGGTCAGGCCAGGGGAGGAGAGGCAGCCCTCTGTCCCACCCCTGGGCTCGCTAACACGAGATACCCAAGCCCCTCAGGCTGGCTGCCCGCCTGGTCTGGGAGGCCTTGCCTGTCCTCGCCTGGGTGTCCAAGTTGGAGGGTCTCCTGGCTCTGAGTGACCATCTCTCTCGAGAGCACGGCTTGCATAGGTTTACAAGTGCAGGAGGCTGGCTGGGCAAGGGTGTTACTGTTACTGTCATCTTCATCGAATGGATGAGAAAGTGGAGGTCCAGAGATGGTTTACGTTCTGCCCAGAGTTACAGTAGGATGTGTCTCACAGAAGGCCAGGCCAGTCTTCTCTCTAAAGGTCTTCTGACAGGTGACCGTATATACCAGAGTCCTAACTGTGCTCTAACAAGGGAAATGCCAGCATGAGGCATTCTGTGGCTCAGTTTCTCCCTGGGGGTGGAAGCCAGTGCATGGGCCAAGGGCAGGTGGCCTAGAAGGCAGGGGGAGGGCCTCAGGATTTGGGGTGATGGAATTTGGGCCAGAGGAGAAGTCCTCAAGCCTGGCCCCTCTCCCTGTCGCCCAGGACTTTGACCACCACTGCAAGTGGGTCAATAACTGCATCGGTCACCGCAACTTCCGCTTCTTCATGCTGCTTGTCCTGTCCCTGTGCCTCTACTCGGGCGCCATGCTGGTCACCTGTCTCATCTTCCTGGTGCGCACAACCCACCTGCCCTTCTCCACCGACAAGGCCATCGCGTATCCGCCCACGTGGGGAAGCAGGAGAGGAGGCGGGGACAGCCAAGGAGGGGGCTGCAGAGGGCGGGGCTATGGGGGCGGGGCTAGAGGGAGAAGCCGCCTGGGAGGACCAGTCTGGGACGAGGTGAGGTGGGCGGGGTCGGGGGATGGGCGGGGCTAGGAGAAGGGGCGGAGCGTTAAGCCTCCCCCGGGCCGGCGCGGTGGCTCACGCCTGTAATTCCGGCACTTTGGGAGGCCGAGGCGGGAGGATCGCTTCAGCCCGAGACCCAGACCAGCCTGGGCAACATAGACCCCGTCTCTACAAAAAAATAGAAAAATTAGCCGGGCGTGATGGCTCGCGCCTATAGTCCCAGCTACCTGGAAGGCTGAGGTGGTAGGACCGCTTGAACCGGGGAGGGAGGTCGAGGCTGCAGTGAGCGGTGATTGTGCCTCAAAAGAAAAGAAAAGAAAAGAAAAAGGAATCTGGCGGGGTCACGGAGCGGGTGCTAAAGGTGCACCGCAGATCTGGACGGGCGGGGACAGCGGGGTGGAGTCAGGCTTTCAAGGGGGTGGGCGGGATGAGGGTGGAGCCAGGGGACGGGGCGGGTGGGCGGGCGTCCGGGGGGCGGGGCGGGGCTCGGGGCGGAGTCGGGCCTGAGGGGCGGGGCCAGGGGCGGGGCGGGGCTCGGGGCGGAGTCGGGCCTGAGGGGCGGGCGTCCGGGGGCGGGGCGGGGCTCGGGGCGGAGTCGGGCCTGGGGGCGGGGCCAGGGGCGGGGCGGGGCTCGGGGCGGAGTCGGGCCTGAGGGGCGGGCGTCCGGGGGCGGGGCGGGGCTCGGGGCGGAGTCGGGCCTGGGGGGCGGGGCCAGGCGTGGGGGTCCCGCAGCCCGGTTCCTTAACCCGCGCAGCATCGTGGTGGCCGTGTCCGCCGCGGGCCTCCTGGTGCCGCTGTCCCTCCTGCTGCTGATCCAGGCACTGTCCGTGAGCTCGGCCGACCGCACCTACAAGGGCAAGGTACGCGGGGCCGCGGGTGGTCAGCTTGCACCTCGGGGACCTCCGCGCTTCCCGCGCTTTCTCCACTGCCCTTGGCCCTGATAGCCTGACCCCCACCCGCGATGGTGCCTCGTTAGGTCCCTCCAGACCCAGCTCTTAAGAGGCTCCAATCTCGCCTCCTCCGGGAGCTCAGTGGTCCCTGTCCTTCCTGGGGGCCTACTGTGTGCTAGGCGGTTTGGATTCTTTGAGCGATGGGAATAGAGGTGAGTAAGGCTACATTCCACACTCGTGTTGATGAGGAACCTGAAATCAGAGTAACACCCACCAGATACCCACGAACACTCAGAGAGGGGGCCGGTCCTGAGCTGTGTGGCGCAGACTCAGGCATTGAGGGTTGAGGGAGGACCACATGGTAGGGTAGGACGTGCAGCTTAGGGGTTCGGGAGAGACAGAAGACGGAGAGGAGGGCATTGCGGGTGAGGGGACACCTTTGCAAAAACTCAGGGAAGCCTGAAAGTCTGTGGAATGTTGATAGGATGGAGAGGAAACAATTCTAACTGGGGCAAGAAGGTGGTGTGGGCAACCAAGTCGACTGCTTCTGTTGGCCACATTAAAAAGGTCCAGGCTGGGGAATGGCGTGAACCGGAGAGGCGGAGCTTGCAGTGAGCCCAGATCGTACCATGCACTCCAGCCTGGGCAGCAGAGCGAGACTCTGCCTCCAAAAAAAAAAAAAAAAAAAGAAAAGAAAAGAAAAGAAAAAGTTCCAAGCTGTGCCCCGTGGCTCATGCCTGTAATTCTAGCGCTTTGGGAGGCTGAGGCAGGAGGATCACTTGAGCCCCGGAGTTTGAGACCAGCCTGGGCAACAAAACGAGACTTCATCTCTACAAAAAATTAAAAAATTAGCCAGGCACGGTGGCACGTGCCTTTAGTCCCAGCTACTCCAGAGGCTGAGGTGGGAGGATTGTTTGAGCCCGGGAGATGGAGGCTGCAGTCAGTGAGCTGTGATTGCACCACTGCACTCCAGCCTGGGCAATAGAGCAAGACCCTGTCTTAAAAAAAAATGCCCAGGCTGGGTGCAGTGGCTCACACCTGTAATCCCAGCACTTTGGGAGGCCGAGGTGGCCAGATGACCTGAGACTGGGAGTTCGAGACCAGCCTGGCCAACAAGGTGAAACCCTGTTTCTACTAAAAATACAAAAATTAGCCAGGTGTGGTGGGGCACACCTGTAGTCCCAGCTACTCGGGAGACTGAGGCACAAGAATCGCTTGAACCTGGGAA
This sequence comes from Homo sapiens, assembly GCF_000001405.40. Taxonomy (NCBI): domain Eukaryota; kingdom Metazoa; phylum Chordata; class Mammalia; order Primates; family Hominidae; genus Homo; species Homo sapiens. The sequence continues at coordinate 196,206,139 of NC_000003.12, read as the reverse complement.
GCAGAAGTTGCAGTGAGCCGAGATTGTGTCATTGCACTCCAGCCTGGGTGACAGATTGAGACTCTGTCTCAAAAACAAAACAAAACAACCCCAGAAAGTCAGGTGGAGAATTTAGGCTTGATGATGAAATCATGGTATGAGAGCCAGGGTAGAATTTCTTAAAAGCCAAGTTTATTGGACGGGTGCATGGCCCACACCTGCAATCCCAGCACTTTGGGAGGCCGAGGTGGGTGGATCACTTGAGGCCAGGTCAGGAGTTCGAGACCAGCCTGGCCAACATGGCGAAACCCTGTCTCTACAAAAAATACAAAAATTAGCCAGGCATGGTGGCATGTGCCTGTAATCCCAGCTATTTGGAGGCTGAGGCAGAGAATCTCTTGAACCTGGGAGGCAGAAGCTGCAGTGAGCTGAGATCATGCCACTGCACTCCAGCTTGGGAGACAGAGCCAGACTCTGTCTCAAAACAAACAAAAACCAAAACAAAAAGTCGTTTATTGAGCAATAATCTACCTATGTAATACTCATCCTTTTCTAGTATACAGTATGAGTTCTGACACACGGATACAGTCCTGCAGCCACCACCACAATCAATATTTAGAACAGGTCCATCCCACCCAAAAATCAGAGATCATGGTCTTTTGTAGTCAATTTCTCCCCCTACCTGTGGCTTTTGGCAACCACTGATCTGTCCTCTGTCCTTATCACTTTCCTTTTCCAGAATAACTGAAATTGTTGGCTTGTGAGTCTGGCTTCTTTCACTTAGCACAATACATTCGAGATTCATTCATGTTGTTGCTCATAGCAGTCGTTTATTCCTTTTGATTGCCGTACGGTATTGCATTGTATGGATGTTCAATAGATTATCCATTTACCAATTGAAGATGTTTGTGTTATTTCTAGTTTGGGGGATTATAATAAATAAAGCTGCTATAAACACTGGTGTACAGGCATGTGAACATAAGTTTTCATTTCTTTGGGGTAAATACTTGAAGGGGTCATATGGTAATTGAATGTGGTTTTTTGTTTGTTCGTTTGAGATGGAGTCTCACTCTGTCACCCAGGATGGAGTGCAGTGGCTCGATCTTGGCTCACTGCAACCTCCACCTCCCAGATTCAAGTGATCCTCCCACCTCAGCCTCCCAGGTAGCTAAGACAACAGGTGTGAGCCACCACGCCGGGCTAATTTTTGCATTTTTAGTAGAGATGGGGTTCACCATGTTGGCCAGGCTGGTCTGGAACTCCTGACCTCAAGTGATCTGCCTGCCTCAGCCTCCCAAAGTGCTGGGATTATAGGCGTGAGCCACTGTGTCCGGCCTGAATGTTTAATTTCATAATAAATTGCCAAATTGTCTTCCAAAATAGTGGTACTATTTTGCATTCCTACCCGTAATATATAAGAATTCCAATTGCTTTGCATCCTTACGAACGTTTGATGTTGTCAGTTGTTTTTTGTTTAAGCCGGTATAAGACATGTGTAGTGGCATCTCAGTGTGGCTTCAGTTTGTATTTTCCTAATGACTAATGGTTTAAGCATATTTTCATGTTCTTCTTTGCCATCTGTGTAACTATGGTGAAGTGTCTGTTCCAATCTTTTGTCCATTTAAAAAATTGTATTGTTTCCTTATTATTTGTTACAAAAAAATCTGCTAGGATTTTCACTGGAATTTCATTGAGCCTATAGATCAGTTTGGGGAGAATTGACATTCTAACAAGATTGAGTGAATTCATGAACATGCCACACCTCTCCATTTATTTACGTCTTCTTCGATGTCTTTCATCCTTATTTTGTGTTTTTCAGCATATAGATTTTGTATCCATTTTGTTAGATTTATATGTATTTCTTTTTTTGTGCTATTGTAAGCATGTTTTTTAAAATTTCAATTTCCATTTGTTCATTATTATAAGGAAATACAATGGATTTTTTTGAATTGGTGTTGAATCCTGCCATTTTGCTAGACCCATTTATTAGTTCCAATAGCTTTTTTGTTGATTCTACATAGGAAATCCTGTTGTCTGTGAAAAAGGACAGTTTCACTTCTTCTTTTCCAATCTGTATGGCTTTATTTTTTTCTCTTCTTATTGCACTGTCTTGGACCTCTAGCACAATGTGGAGCAGGAGTGGTGAGGGTGGACATCCGCGCCATGAGACTCCTTCAGCAGGTCACTGGCTGTTCTAGGAAAACTGATGGGCAGCATTGATGAGGGAGGAGCTGCAGGTATCAGACAGCTGGAAGGACACAGGCGCCCTCTCTGCCCACCACCTCCCATCCCAGTCACCCTTCAATCACTCCACCACACCCATATTTGGCTCCCCCACCTGTGACTCCCCAGCTCCGCCCTTCCTCATCAGCCCGCTCTGGTCTGCATGTGGACCCTCCCCAGCCTCAGTGCATCGTTTCAGCCTTTTCTGGGCAGCCTTCGCCCTTCTCACATCCTGTGGTTCTTCCTGCCCTCCCTCCCCTGCCCAGAATGCTGCCCTCCTGATCCAGGATCTCCAGCCTCCAGGGACCCTAACGTGGCCTGCGATTCACCAGGCAGGGCTCCTTCCCGCAGCCCGCAGCACCTGCCTCAGGCCTTCTTCACATGCCCCAAATCTCATTCCCTTCCTCCTCCATCCCTGGGCTGCAACTCTGCCTGTGGTTGATAGCAAGGTCTCTGGATCCAGTTCACACATGTTCACATCACAGCTCCACAGCATACCAGCAGAGAGATCCTGGGTATATTACTTAGCCACCTAGGCGTCCACTTTCCCCAACTGTAAAATGGGCAGCATGGGTGAGTTTAAGACATAGAGTAGCAGCTGGTACAAGTGAGTGCTCTAGATGTCGCTACTATTAATACCGTTCAATTTCTCTCTCTCTTTCTTTCTTCTTTCTTTCTTTTTTTTTCTTTTTTGAGACAGAGTATTTCTCTGTCACTCAGGCTGGAGTGCAGTGGTGTGATCTTGGCCTCCTGGGTTCAAGCGATTCTCCTGCCTCAGCCTCCCGAGTAGCTGGAATTACAGGTGCACGTCACCATGCCCACCTGATTTTTTGTATTTTTAGTAGAGACGGGGTTTCACCATGTTGGCCAGGCTGGTCTCGAACTCCTGACCTCAGGTGAGCCACTCGCCTCGGCCTCCCAAAGTGCTGGGATTACAGGCTGAGCCACTGCGCCTGGCACCATTCATTTTCATCACCATTTACACATGCTCCTGTCTCTCTCATCTTAAAAGCAAAGCAAAACCCTCCCTTAACATCGCCAGCCTCCACTCCCGCTGCTCTACTCTGCTCTCCAGCAGCCAAGTCTCCTGACAGGGCCGGCAGTGCTCACTTGCCCCACTCTCCCCCTTCCCCGGCAGCTTCAGCCGGCCGCTGTGCTCACTGTCACACGGATGCTGCTCTCACCAGGCGGCCAAAGCCAGTGGTCAGGCCTCATACTACTCTTTCCGGACCGCACACAGCAGCTTGAGCTTGTGAAACTGCACGCAGGGAAGCGGCCTGTCCCCGCCCCTCAGGGCTCAGCCTCTGGCCTCCTGCGCGGCTCCTCTGCGTGTGCCTGGGCGCCTCTGCCTGGGTTCCTGCTCCTTCCCTCGGTGCTGCCCTCGCCACCCTGAAGGTTGAGGCTGGCCCGGGATATGTCGTGTGCAGTGCGTCCTCAACCCCCAGCACAGTGACTGGAACTTTCCTTTTTTTATTTTTATTTTTTCTTGACGGCAAGGACAGTAGTGAGCAGCGAGGAAAGAGTAGAACAAGGAATTGGGTCTGTAACTTACTGAACAGGCGAGATAAACCACTGCTTTCAGACCAGCCCTTGGAACTTTTTTTTTTTCCTTTTTGAGACGGAGTCTCTCACGCTGTTGTCCCGGCTGGAGTGCAATGGCGTCACCTCGGCTGACCGCAGCCTCCACCTCCTGGGTTCAAGTGATTCTCCGGCCTCAGCCTCCCAAGCAGCTGGAACTACGGGCGTGCACCACCACACCCTACTAAAAATTTTCGTATTTTATTAGAGACGGGATTTCACTATGTTGGCCAGGCTGGTCTTGAACTTGTGACCTCAAATGCTCCACCCATCTTGGCCTCCCAAAGTGCTGGGATTACAGGCATGAGCCACCACGCCCGGCCCCTGGAACATTTTTAAGGCCCCAAAATATTCCTGAAACAGTGAGTGAACCAACCAACAAAGGAATCCATAGCACTTTGGGAGGGACGAAAAGACAAAAAGAGAGAGAAGCCAGATGCCCTGATCCCTGGCGGGGAATGGGGAGAGGGGGGTTGGGTGGGAGACGGAGCAAGAAGCAGCTCACCCTGGCTTTGGTCCCGTGGAGTGTCAGGCAGTTTCAGACACAGAATCGGAGCAGGAGCCCCAGGTCTGGAGACAGTGAGGTGGACAGTCTGAGTGCTTCAGAGCTGTTGGTTTCTTTTTCTTTTTTTATTTTTTGAGACAGAGTCTCACTCTGTCGTCCAGGCTGGAGTGCAGTGGTGCTATCTCGGCTCACTGCAACCTCCACCTCCTAGGTTCAAGCGATTCTCCTGCCTCAGCCTCCTGAGTAGTTGGGATTACAGGCACATGCCACCATGCCCGACTAATTTTTGCATTTTTAGTAGACCGGGTTCTTCCATGTTGGCCAGGCTGGTCTCGAACTCCTGGCCTCAAGTGATCCACCCGCCTTGGCCTTCCAAAGTGCTGGGATTACAGGTGTGAGCCACGGTGCCCGGCCAAGAGCTGTTGGTTTCATTCATATCTGAAAGCATCTTGCGTGGGAGAGGCAGGTACAAATGTATTGGTCAGTTTTGGCCCGGTGCGGTGGCTCACGGCTGTAATCCCAGCACTTTGGGAGGCCGAGGTGGGCGGATCATGAGGTCAGGAGTTCGAGACTGGCCAACACAGTGAAACCCCGTCTCTACTAAAAATACAAAAATTAGCTGGGCGTGATGGTGGGTGCCTGTAATCCCAGCTACTTGGGAGGCTGAAGCAGAAGAATCGCTTGAACCCGGGAGGCGGAGGTTGCAGTGAGCCAAGATCGTGCCACTGCACTCCAGCCTGGGCGACACAGTGAGACTCCGTCTCAAAAAAAAGAAAAATGTATGGGTCAGTCTTATGAATTTATTAAAGATCATCATTCCTTTAAGCATTTTTCTATGCCTCATATACAATCAACATTTTTCTATACCTTATATACATCTAATAAATAAAAATTTATTTCCCTAATGCCGGGTACAGTGACTCACACCTGTAATCCCAGCCCTTTGAAAGGCTGAGGTGGGAAGATCGCTTGAGGCCAGGAGTTCAAGACCAGCCTGGGCAACATAGCCAGACCCCATTCCTGCAAAAAAAATTAAAAATTGGCTGGGCATAGTGGTGCATGCCTGTAGTCTCAGCTACTTGGGAGACAGAGGTGGGAGGATCCCTTGAGCCCAGGAGTTTGAATTTGTGAGGACCTATGATCACTGCACTCCAGCCTGGGCAACAAGAGCAAAACTGCGTCTAAAAAAAAAAAAAAAAAAGGCCAGGCGTGGTGGCTCACGCTTGTAATCCCAGCACTTTGGGAGGCCAAGGTGGGCGGATCACGAGGTCAGGAGATCGAGACCATCCTGGCTAACACGGTGAAACCCCGTCTCTACTAAAAATACAAAAAATTAGCTGGGCGTGGTGGCGAGCACCTGTAATCCCAGCTACTTGGGAGGCTGAGGCAGGAGAATGGCGTGAACCTGGGAGGCGGAGCTTGCAGTGAGCTGAGATCGCGCCACTGCACTCCAGCCTGGGTGACAGAGCAAGACTCCATCTCAAAAAAAAAAAAATTATATATATATATACATATATATATATATATCCCTAAATTTTAAAATTCTGTCAATATATTTTTATTAGATTTTAGTTTTTCTAGAGACAGGGTCCCACTCTGTCATTCAGGCTGGAGTGCAGTGGCGTAATCATAGCTCACTGCAGCCTCGAACTCCTAGGCTCAAGGGATCCTCTCATCCCAGCCTCCCAAGAAGCTGAGACTACAGGTGCACAATGCCACAGCCACCTATTTTTATTTTTTTAGAGATGAAAGTCTCAGGCTGGTCTTGAACTTCTGGGGTCAAGAGATCCTCCCTTCTCCACCTCCCAAAACACTCGGATTACAGGTGCCAATCACCATGCCTGGCCCAAATTCCATAAATTTAATCAAAATCTTCTAAATGACTAATACAATACCAGTTTCTTTTTTCTGAGCCAGAGTGTCGCTCTGTCGCCCAGGCTGGAGTGCAGTGGCATGATCTCGGCTCACTGCAACCTCCGCCTCCCGGGTTCAAGCGATTCTTCTGTCTCAGCCTCCCGAGTAGCTGGGATCACAGGCACCCGCCACCACGCCTGGCTAATTTTTTGTATTTTTAGTAGAGATGGGGTTTCACCATGTTGGCCAGGCTGGTCTCAAACTCCTGACCTCAAGTGATCCACCTGCCTCGGCCTCCCAAAGTGCAGGGATTACAGGCGTGAGCCATCTCACCCGGCCAATACGTTTCTTTTACATGCTTTAAATACCTTAAAGTAGGCAGAATCTCAAATAGTGCAAGGATGCGTATTGCCCTATGGCAACAGTGAGTGGCGACAGTGAGCTGTTATGGAGCTGTCCAGACTTTTCCTCCCTCCAGTGAGTGCCAGCTGTCCTTGCATGGAGTCCTGGTTCCTTTGGTGGAGAATGGTGTTGAAAATCTCAGCCTTTGCGGCGGAGAGCGGGGACATGGGACACAGGGGAGTTGGTGGTGGGCAGAGATGCTGCTGGGCCACTTTCAGTGACAAAACATGACAGCAAAGGCTCTTGAAGTCAGGTGAGGCCCAGCCTGCCCTGTGGCGGAGAGGGAGTTTGGGAGGGGGTGAGGTGGATGGGTAGAGTGAGTGGGCGAAGGGGAGAGAGGAGGGAGAGAACCTGATCAAGGTCAAGAGTGCCCAGGGGACGACTTGGCCTTTACCGCATTGCGTGTTCAAGGCTTTTAGCCCAGATTTTCCTGGGCCATGTGATCATGGTTAGGGAAATACGACTGGGCCTTGCTCAACTGACCTTCCAGACAGTGACATTCAGTATCTGGAAGGAGGTAGCAGGAGGATGTGTGTGGCCAGTGGAGACCAAGAGGAGGAGGATGGGGCAGTGGTGGGGAGGTCCTTCAGTCTCCTGGCCTCCAGCTTGCTGGTGCCCTGGGCTGAGCCCTGGCTAGCTGACCAGCTCAGGGAGGGCCACTGGGCGATGGCCCAGCCATTCCTGCTGGTTCTGAGCTCCTCTTCCGGTTTCCATCCCCGACCAGTGCAGACACCTTCAGGGATACAACCCCTTCGACCAGGGCTGTGCCAGCAACTGGTATTTAACAATTTGTGCACCACTGGGACCCAAGTGAGTTGGCAAGCCAGAGGCCCAACTGGTGAACCCTGGGGGTGGGGCAGAGGTGGGTTCACCCTGGCTCCTTACCACAGCCCCAGGCCCTTACACTCACTGTTCCTGCTCCTCTGGGGTTTTCTCCAGGGCACTGGGAGCTCTGGGGCCTCCCTACGTCCTTGGCTCTGTGTGTTCCTGCCCCACTATGGCATACAGGGCTGCTGCATCCTGGATGAGGCTGGCCTCAGCTTCCTGCAGAGCTAAGCCCTGGGCCGTGTGCTTCCCAAGCTGAGGCGGGCAGGGGAGCCGGACCAGGGAGGACGGTGGCCCCTGCATCTGGCCTGCTGCTCCCCAGGTACATGGCTGAAGCTGTCCAGCTGCAGAGAGTGGTGGGGCCTGACTGGACATCCATGCCGAATCTGCACCCTCCAATGTCCCCCTCTGCTCTCAACCCCCCAGCCCCAACCTCTGGGTCCCTACAAAGCAGGGAAGGGACCCCCGGGGCGTGGTGAGGCTGCAGCTCTCCAGGAGGTAAGAAGCGTGTGTGTGCGTGGGTGTCTGTGCGTGTCGGGAGGGGGGTGTCTGCAGGTTGTGAGGGTGTGGGGGGAGGCCCCTGAGGTTTGGCTGACCCTGAAGCTGGAGCGCTCCGAGCTTGGGGGGAGGAGGGTTCTACACTGGAGGGGCGTTGGAAGCAGGGCCCAGGCCTCTAGAATACACCCAGGAGTCCCTGGAGTCACAAAGACAAATGGAGGATGACTCCCCCACTACATGTGCTGATGGGCCTCAGGCCAGTCACCTACTCGCAGGACTGAGATGAGTCTCGTGGTTTATAATTTGGCCAGGGGGTGCGGGTGGCGGGAGACTCTTTTATTTAAAGGAAACATTGACTCGAAGCCCCGTGAGACATGGAGGTGGAGCATCAGGAGGCCACCGTGGGGCTGGGCAACCCCTGCGCCCCGGGGCCTCTGCAGCACATTCTGTGGGGCCAGCCCGCTCCCTTTGCCTCCAGGAGCAGGAGACCTGGCACGAGCTGCGGGGCGGGGTCTTGTTGAGAGCACTCATGCCCCTGTTCTGTGTTTAGTTCCACACGGGCCCAGTGCTGCCCCTGCTGCTGCAGGAGCCCCCAGGCGAGGTTCGGCCTTCCTCTCGCCCCTGTGCACCCGGAGATGCCCACAGCACCAGCACCTGAGCTCACCTCCGAACCCGCCTCCTGAACCCGCCTCCTGAACCTGCCTCCTTACCTCCCACTTCCTGAGCCCTGAGTGGAAGCCTTTCTGTGCCTTGCCCTTTGCCCACTCCCCTGGTGGGACTGCCAAGACCCTCAATGCCCATTAAATACTCTTGCCTGCCTCTTACAACTGTCACGCTGCGCATGTCCGTCCTGGGTGAGGGCTTGGAGGAGGCTCTAATGGGCCGGGACAAAGACCTTCCGGGATGGAGGACCCAGGATCTGTGGAGGCCTGAGTTCAGGACCTGACACCACCTGGCTCTGTGACCTTGGACAAGACACCTAACATTTCTCTCCTCCTTAAAATTGGGCAACAATAGGCTGGGCGTGGTGGCTCACGCCTGTAATCCCAGCACTTTGGGAGGCCGGAGGCCACCTGAGGTCAGGAGTTCGAGACCAGCCTGGCCAACATAGTGAAACCCTGTCTCTAGTAAAAAATACAGAAACTAGCTGGGCTTGGTGGTACATGCCTGTAGTCCCAGCTACTAGGGAGGCTGAGGCAGGAGAATTGCTTGAACCCGGCAGTTGGAGGATGCAGTGAGCCAAGACCACACCATTGCACTCCAGCCTGGGTGACAGAGTGAGACTCTGTCTCAAAAAAAAAAAAAGGGCAACAACAACAACAGACAATAATAATAATAATAATAATTGCAGCAGTTGACTGGCCTAGCTCCCAGCTAGGGCTGGAGATGATGGAAGAGGAAAATCCACCAATGTCGGGGTGTCCGAGGTTGGGGAGCACCTGGCCTCTGCCCGGCCACACCTTTGTCTGGCTGCAGGGGGCGCTCGCAGCCCAGGGATTCACCAGGCCTGGCCTGGTCCAGCCCTGCCTCTCTGGAGCCTCTGGGGTGGGGTTAGGGCTGGCCTTACCATTTCTGGGGCCCTGAGGCTGGGAGTGGCCCCCTCCTGCCTGCCGCGTCCTGGGGAAGTGGAGGGGTGGGGGCGTTCTCCACCACGGCCCAGCCTTGCATCTTTCCTGCAGCTGTGTCTCACCCTGGTCCCTCTTTCCTGGTGGGAGGTCAGGAGCTGGTTCTGGTCTTGCCCCTGGGGTGGTCCCAGGCCCCACAAGTCTTCAGGCCCCTGGGGTTGGGGGGGTCGGGGGGACACATCTAACTGTGGCTCTGCTAGCGGCCAGAATGTGACCGTGGGACTGGGAATAATGCATCTTTCTGGAAGGCTGGCAGAGGCCGGAATGAGGTGTTTCATGCAAAACATCGGGACACAGGTACACGGTAGGCACACAGTGAGCGCGGTCAGTGTCATCATGATGATTTTCTCCACCACGCAGCTGACACACCACCCAGAGCTTCTCCAAGGACCACCTTCGAGACTGACCTGGGCCCCTTTCTTCAGGGAAGTCCCTTCTGCCAGGCTCTTCTGGCTCAGCCTTTCCGTGTCAGGGGAGGGTGGGAATTTTTATCAGGTGTTCCAGTGATTCTGCCACCTGGAGCGTCAAAATGGGCCCAAGTCACACTGTTTGCTTCCTGCCACCTTCGTATCCGGGTGAAACCAGGGTGTGGAGGAGGGTGGGGGCAGAAGGATGTCACCCAAGGGTTCAGATGAGCCACCCCCAGGTGCCGCGGAGGTGTGTGTGTCTGTGTGCTGGGGTGTGAGCGCATTCTCAGGGGGACGCTGGCCCAGCCCCTGTCCTCTCTACCGCTGGTGATGCAGGACGTCCCTCCAGATCTCCAGCCCAATGGGTCCTGCCACAACCGACCCTGCAGGCTTCAGACCCTTCCCTGTGCAGGCCCAGCCTCACCCACCTGCCTGGCATGGGCCACGGGGGAGGGGGTCCAGGAGCCTGGGCCAAGGCCGGGATGTGAATTATGGAACTGGCTGGTTGAAGAAGTGGTGCCTGCCTGGAGTCCCAGCCCACAGGGGCAAAGAAGCCCAGGCCCAGTATCTGGGGAGGCCCTGACCTTCCTCTGCCACCCTGTCCCTTAGTTCAGGACGGCACCTACTGGTCCTCGCCTCCAGGTATGCAGGGGACACACTCAGCCTCAGGCAGGGGCCTTTCAAGCCTTAAGCCAGCTGTGAGTCATTTCCCCTCACACGCTGGGCCTCAATTTCCCCACTGGGCAGACATAATTTTCCTCATAGTGTCAAAGGAGACCATGAACCCTCTGAGGGCAATGGCCTCCTGCTCTAAATGTGGATTCTAGGTCTCTCTGTCCCTCCCAGCCTGGGATTTCTTTTTTTTTTTTTGGAGACGGAGTCTTGCTCTGTCGCCCAGGCTGGAGTGCAGTGGTGCGATCTCGGCTCACCGCAGCCTCCTCCTCCTGGATTCAACTGATTCTCGTGCCTCAGCTTCCTGAGTAGCTGGAATTACAGGTGTGCACCACCATATCCAGCTAATTTTTGTAGTTGTAGTAGAGACAGAGTTTCACCATGTTAGCCAAGCTGGTCTCAAACTCCTGGGTTCAAGTGATAAGCCCACCTCAGCCTCCCAAAGGGCTGGGAATACAGGCATAAGCCACGGCGCCCGGCCCCAGCCTAGGATTTCTAAGGTTTCTTCAGGAAAGTCACTTGGATCAGGCCCCTTGGCTCCTGGAGGGTTAAGTGAGACTTAGACTGTCCCTTCCTTTGACTCCCCACCACTCCACACTCTCCCCCCTAAGCCAGGGGACCCCTCCGGGATTCTTTGCAGCCGGGCTGAGAGGCCTCGGTTCAGCTGCACCCACTTTTCCTTTCTGCCCCTTCCTTGTTTCTGTGGAATGTACCCTTGATTCTCAGATGCACCCCACCCAGTCCTTGACCCACTGATAAGGGGAGGGGTGTTATCAGAGCCCAGTTACAGGGCCTACTGTCTATACGCCCAGGAAGCCCTGCCATCTCTGCCTTCTGTGGGCTGGAGCCAAGGAGTGACCCCAGGCCTGCAAAGCCGCCAGGTGCCTGACTGTCTAGGGCTCCTCTGAGAGGTCCCCAGCTGGCCCCTAGGACCTGAAGAAAGGGGTTAGACCCTGGGATGGGGTGCCCAGGGCAGCGACCTCCCATCTCCACGCCTTTCCTCCATGGGCCTTCTGGAAGGCTCACAAGCTTCATGGGCATGTGGGGTGGGGCTCAGCCCCATCATTCCTCTCTGTGCCCAACTAGTGTGCTGTGGAGAAGTCACTGTCCTGTGCGTAGCCTCAGCTTCCTCGTCTGTAGGACTGACAGTCATAGCCACCTCCCAGGGATCACAGGATCCTAACTCTCTAGGAGAGGAAGGGACCCGGGCTGCCTCATCCAGCTGCCCCCGACCCCCAATTTCATAAGCAGGGACTCTGGGGCCCGGAGAGGGAAGTGGTTGCATCAGATCACACGGTGCAGCCAGTCTGGTGACTCTCGGGTTCCCAGGCCGCTGCCCCATCCCTGGTCCTGGGCCATTCCAGAGGAGACAGGCTTGGCTGGCAACCCCAGGGCTCTGCTCTCCAGCCCCTGTGCCTCAGAGCTGGGCTGGGCTGGGCACAGGCCCAGGGAACTGATAAGAAGGTTTAACTCTCTTCAGCCCTGTGCTGCCGGTGATAATGACCCCCTCCGCTGCCTCCCACTCAGCCCTGCCCTGCTCTGCCCTGCTCTGCCCTGCTCTGCCCTGACCCTTGGGTGGGGGCCCTGCAGGTGGCTGAGGGTGGAGCAGGGCAGGGACAGATGGGGGAAGGGGAGGTCACCGCACTGCAGGATCCAGGGCCCAGAATCCTAGTACCTCAAAGGACACAGGCACCTTGCTGGCTCTCATGGGCAGCTGGGCACAGTGCCTGACACCCATGCTCCATCTGGGTCTGACTCCCTTCTCTTTAGTTCTTAGCATGCAGAGGAATGGCTGGAGGGAAGCAGCCCAGCGGCTGAGGGCTCGCCAGAACTCCTGTACTAACAAACCCTCGATGGAGCCCTGCCTGGGCCAGGGCCTGTGCTCAGTGTCCAGGCTGCCTCCTTCAATCCTCACGACTGCTCTATGGAACTGTTATTCTAGTTTCTGAGGTGAGGAAACCAGCATGGAGCAAACAAGCAACTCCCCAAGAGGCAGAAGTGCAGCCCCTGTGACTCGTAGCCACCACGAGGTGTGTCTGTGGGCAGTTTCCACATTTTATTTCAACGTGGGGTCACAGTTAAGACGCGGGCTCTGAAGGTGGGCTGCCTGGTTTCTCCCCCTGTAATGTAAGATTAATAATTGTATCTCTAGAAGAAAACACACACACACACACACACACAAGTCGTATCTCATCGTGTGGTTATGACATGGCTTACCTAGTGCATGGAAAGAGCTTGGCACAAACCCCCACACATGACAGGTGCTTCGCAGAGGAAGCAGTGACCATCATAGCCCGATAAAGGAGGCAGGAGGCAGACCAGGCCTTGGGATGCCAGTTACCATGACAACAGCCTCTGACTCCTGTCCGGCTGGGTGCGGGTTTCCCTGTGGCCCTGACAACAGAGGTAAAGGGTGCTGCTTCGGACACGAGGTCTTTGTTACTGTTTTACACAAAACTCCCCAACACTGGTGTCTCCAGGCCAGAAGGGATGGGGGCATGGGCTGAGATTCTTCAAGGGAATGAGAAGAGGGTCACCCAACAACGGCTCTGCCTCCTGTTAAGAAAGCAACTGCTGCTTCTGCTTTGTGGCCAGGCAGTGTTTCAGGCTGAAGGAAGGCAAAAGCAATGGTGTTCCGAGCTCTGTTCCAGGGTGGCTGCTCACAGCCTCCGCCCTCCCTGCTCCTCACCTGACCTCCCCCGCAGGCAGCGTCCCAGGCTCTGCCTCTCCACGTAGGCCTCTGCCTCACCTCTTCTCACCTTTCCACGCTTGCCTCCTCCCTTCCCCTTGCTCCTCCTCCTGTCTTTCTCTTTCTCTTCACACTCTTCTGCTCTCCCTCGATTGCTCTCTCCCTCCTTCTCTCCCTCCCACTTTTCCTGAACCACAGCTTCCAGGAACACAGAGGCAGCTGTCTGACAGCTTCTCACGTCCTGGCTGCGGTTCCAGGAAGGCCCTGGTCTGGGCATGGAAACCCAGGGCACTGTCCACCAGGCTGGAGGCGGGGCCCGCACAGGGCACCTTCGTCTGCCTCTCCCTGGGGCTTCCGCCTCCCACCTGGGCACCCACTTTCCCAGCAGCTTTCTGCTTGGGGAAGTTCTGCTGCTGAAACTGGGGATTCCCAAAGTGGAAGGGGCCCTGCTGAACAGCCAGCCACCTCCCTCACTTCTCAGCAAGAAGAAAACCAAGGCGGTGGGGGACGCAAGGCGGGGCTTCCCCAAGATCACACAGCTGAGCAGAGGCCAGGCCAGGGGGTCCCTGATCTGCCACCTGAGTCCTGGGCCCTTCCTGCCACCCCACGGAGAGGAGACGCCTGGGTCAGAGGCCCGGCCTGTCAACAGGAAGGGCACGTTCTTCCTCCTAAAGGCCTAGTGATCTGACTCCAGTGTAGCAATGACAGCAATGACAACACAGTTGAATGCTAATGGAGGTCCAGGCCTGGGGAAGCACTCGGCCTGCGTTTGCTCACTTAGTCCTCAGCCTCCTGAATGAGGCGCTGCTGTTACTCTTGTGGGTGTCTCGGGCCTGCAAAGACCAGGTGTGCTGGGCTGGGGGCTTCAGGACTACTGTTTTTTATTTTTATTTTTTTATTTTTTTGAGACGGAGTCTCGCTCTGTCGCCCAGGCTGGAGTGCGGTGGTGCGATCTCGGCTCACTGCAGCCTCTGCCTCCCGGGTTCACGCCATTCTCCTGCCTCGGCCTCCCGAGTAGCTGGGACTACAGGCGCCCGCCACCACGCCCGGACAATCTTTTGTATTTTTAGTAGAGACGGGGTTTCACCGTGTTGGCCAGGATGGTCTCGATCTCCTGACCTCGTGATCCACCCGCCTCGGCCTCCCAAAGTGCTGGGATTACAGGCGTGAGCCGCCGCGCCCGGCCCATTCAGAGCTACTCTTGCACTGATCTCCTGCGATTCCTTGACTGAGTGACCAGGGAGGAAGGTCCATGGTCTGAGGACAAGTCCTGAGGTGAACAGGGCTCCAGGCAGGATTTATTCCATGGCCCATTAGTATCCTTTGGCTGAACCTGAGTCATGCTGAACCTCATCTGTCCCCGAGTAGTGGTGGAGGCATGAGGTCAGCAAGTGAAAGCACTGACCCCTGGGCAGGGCCCTGGGCTGTCTGGGCTGGGAGACTCCCCCAGTCAGATTTAGCTCCTAGATGCCTGTTCCTCAGCCCCTAATGGGAGTGGAAAGATCCCTCCTGCCTGCCTTTTCCTGGCAGGGCAGTAAGCGGCTGTGTAGGGAGCACAGGCCGGGCATCCGGAGAGCTGGGTGGACAGGTGGCTCTGCTGCCAGCTGGATGTGTGGCCCTGGATGAAGCCCCGACCTCTCAGAGCTGCTCCGATCTCAACGTGAAGTTGAAACCAAACTCCATGCCCGGCCGACCTCACAGTGCGCTTGTAGGATCAGAAGGGTACATGATGGGCCGGGCATGGTGGCTCATGCCTGTAATCCCAGCGCTTTGGGAGGCCGAGGTGGGCGGATCACCTGAGGTCAGGAGTTCAAGACCAGCCCGGCCAACATAGCGAAACCCTGTCTCTACAAAAAATACAAAAATTAGCCGGGTGTGGTGGCGCACACCTGTAGTCCCAGAGGCTGAGGCAGGAGAATTCCTTGAGATACGGAAGTGGAGGTTGCCGTGAGCCAAGATCGCGTCATTACACTCCAGCCTGGGCGACAGAAGAAGAAAGAAGAAGAAGAAGAGGAGGAGGAGGAAAAAGAAGAAGAAGAAAAGACGAAAAAGAAGAAGAAAAAGAAGAAAAAGAAGGGAGAACCTTCATGGACTTGTATTCCTTTTCTTAGGCCAGGTCCAGGTGGGTGTGCGGTGGTTGTAAAGGAAACAGTGAGAGGGTCTGACTCAGGCGTGGGGACCTGGAGGGAGAAATTCCCTTTCTCTTCTGTCTCCATTTTCTCTCCTTGGGCCCTGAGCCTTTTGCAGGCTCTGAATTTAGATTATCTGGGGGGTGGGGGTGGTGGCTCATGCCTGTAGTCCCAGCACTTTGGGAGGCCGAGGCAAGTGGGTCATGTGAGTCCAGGAGTTCGAGACTAGCCTGGGCAATATATTGAGACCCTGTCCCTATATAATAAAATAAAAAATTAAATTAAACAGGGCATTGGGAAATGGTCAAGTCCGAGGATGGGCCACCTCATTCTGACTCCCAGGCAGACGGCCCGGCTCACCTTTCTTGGGTGACCTTCTCAGCTCCCTCTCTTCCCCACCAAGTATCTATCCCTAGGGGAAGGAGCTGGCCAGACTTGGATTTGGGGCAGAGATGGGGCCCCCTCTGCTCCCAGCTGGCGGCATAGTCTGTTAGCCACCCACAGCCCCCGGCCTCAGAGTGCCCTGGAGTAGAAGCCTCTGGAAGGCCTCAAGGCCTGGTGGTGCCCAGCTCACTCTGAGCCTTTGGTGGGGGCCTGGGCTGCTGGCCCAGCTTGGCCAGGAAGCTCCGGCTGCCTTGCGCCCAATCCAGGCCAGAGAGTAAAGGGGGTTTGTTCCTGAAGCGGAGACCAGAAGTAGGCACACACAGCGCTCTTTGCTTTGGAGTAGAAGACTTTAAAGATTTGTTTTCTTTAAACATCCTGCTGCAGGAAAGAGAAGCTGAAAACCAAACATTCCTAAAACATGGATTTCAGGAGCAATTTGTTTGGTTTCCGTCCCACCCTGTTTCTGCTCAGGGGGGTGTCAGGCACTTGTCCCTGAGGTTGGGTGGAGGGTCCACGCCCTTCCAGGCTCACCCGTCCAGCCTCGGCAGCAGGTCTCCTCCGGCACCAGATCTAGCCTGAGGGCCCCTGGTCGTGGCCCGGCCCTGAGCTTGGTCCCAGGGGAGGGTTTGTACGCATCCACGTCAAGGGAAAAAGGAGGCCACTTTTCCTTTACATTAGCTGCACCTGGCACTGTTGACCACACCCTCTTTCTTGAAACCTCTTTTACTCTGGCCTGAGGAATCAGACATACTTCTTTTGTTGTTATTGCTGTTTTTGAGACAGAGTCTCGCTCTGTCACCCTGGCTGGAGTGCGGTGGCGCGATCTCGGCTCACTGCAGCCTCCGCCTCCCGGGTTCAAGCGATTCTCCTGCCTCAGCCTTCTGAGTTGCTGGGATTACAGGCGCCCGCCACCACACCCGGCTAATTTTTGTATTTTAAGTAGAGACGGGTTTTCACCATGTTGGCCAGGCTGCTCTTGAACTCCTGACCTCAGGTGATCCGCCCGCCTCGGACTTCCAAAGTGCTGGGATTACAGGCGTGAGCCACCGCACCCTGCCAAGGGATCAGACACACTTCTGACCCTCCTGACTCTTGGCTGCTCTTCCCCTCAGCCCCTACCATGAATCTTCTAGGT
Organism: Homo sapiens; assembly: GCF_000001405.40. Lineage (NCBI taxonomy): Eukaryota > Metazoa > Chordata > Mammalia > Primates > Hominidae > Homo > Homo sapiens. The sequence continues at coordinate 196,189,234 of NC_000003.12, read as the reverse complement.
CCGTCCTTGGTCCTCATGCTCCTGCTACTGGGGAACCAGTGAGGTTCAGCATGACTCAACCTGCTTTTGGAGAAGTCACTCATTCCCTTGGCTTCAGCAGTGCTGGGCCTGCCAAGCCTCCATCTCCAGGCCCTCGGGCCCTCCCAGCAGCCCAGGCCTTGTGCCTTCATTTTCTATGATTGAATTTGAATTATTCCCTGGGGGCTCCCAGGTGTTTAATGTCTTTCCACGTCCCAATACCGGGAGAGAGGAAGCAAAGGTGAGAGGAGCCACAGAGAAGGAGGAACACCTGCTTGTGTGCAGGCAGTTGAGCAGGGCGGGGGGCCCTGGCTTCACAGGGAGGGTATCTGGGTGCCCCAGACCCGTCCCAAGCTTGGGGCTGGGATAAAAAATTCCAAAGGGCTGGGCGTGGTGGCTCACGCCTGTAATCCCAGCACTTTGGGAGGCCAAGGCGGGCGGATCCCCTGAGGTCAGGAGTTCGAGACCAGCCTGGCCAACATGGTGAAACCCCGTCTCTACTAAAGATACAAAAATTAGCCGGGCGTGGTGGCACGTGCCTGTAGTCCCAGCTACTTGGGAGGCTGAGGCAGGAGAATCGCTTGGACCCAGGAGGCAGAGGTTGAGCCAAAATTACACTACTATACTCCAGCCTGGGCAACAGAGTGAGACTCCATCTGGAAAAAAAAAAAAAAAAGTCCAAAGTGTGCCCCAAAGCTAGCCCCAACCAAGAGCGGGGCAGGAATTAGAGGGGCCCTCAAGCAGCCTCACTGGCCTCCTTGCCCCTGGGTGCCCTGATCCAGTGGTCCTGGTAGGAGGGTCCTAGGGGAGGGGGCGTTGAGAGGTGCTGGCATCCAGGGAGGAGCTGGTAATAAGATTGGGGCCTGAATGGGATGATAGAAATAAGAATTCACCTGTTCACACATTTAACAAACACTAAGTAGCCACACCATATCCAAGAGGCAAGGAAATAACTTTTTAAAGAGAATGTATTCATGCATAGTATAATTAGGTATTAATTTAAAATTACAGCCAGGCACAATGGCTCACACCTGTGATCCCAGCACTTTGGGAAGCCGAGATGAAAGGATTGCTTGAGCCCAGGAGTTTGAGACCTGCCTGGGCAACACAGTGGCTCGCCCTATCTCTACAAAAAAATAGAAAAAAGTTAGCCAGGCATGGGGATGCACACCTATAGTCCCAGCTATTCAGGAGGCTGAGGGGGGAGGATCACTTGAGCCCAGGAAGTAGAGGCTGCAGTGAGCTTTAATTTCGCCACTACACTCCAGCCTGGACAACAGAACGAAACCCCGTCTCAAAAATAAAATGAAAAAATAAAAAAAATAAAATAGAATTGCATGTAGGCTGGGTGCAGTGGCTCACACCTGCAATCCCAACTCTTTGGGAGGCTGAGGTGGGAGGATCATTTGAGCAAGGGAATTTTAAAGCAGCCTGGGCTTTGTTGTGAGCAAGACCCCATTTCTACAAAAAATCATATTAGCTAAGTATGGTGGCACATGCCTGCCTGTAGTAGTCCCAGCTACTTGGGAGGCTGAGGCAGGAGAATCGCTTGAGCCCAGGAGGTGGAGGTTGCAGTGAGCCATGATCATGCCACTGCACTCCAGCCTGGCTGACAGAGTGAGACCCTGTTTCAAAAAAAATAAAATAAAATAAAAATAAAACATTTTAAAATAAAATTGCATATATGTATTTTTAAAAGACTAGAGGCAAATTCATCAAATGCTCTTGGTGGCCGAGCGAGCGTTTTCCCGTTGGGGGGTCCTGGCTGTGGGTCTGGGTGGCAGGTCCCCTGCATTCTGGGCCCAGCTTCCCCTGCCTCGCCACGTGACTACAAAAAGCCCTTTTCCTCTGTGGGCCTGTTTCCTTATGTGTAAAATGAAAGCATGGAACCAGAAGATCTACGGCTCTTTCCAGCTCTGAGTTACACGAGGATACTCGGGACTAAGGATTTACACAGAGCTGCACTGGCATGGCGGGGACTGCCCATCCCGCTGCGGGCCTTGCCACTCACACCCTTAATACGACCACAGCCCCTCTCCTGGCAGGCTCCACGGAGGGGAGGAAGCGGCCGCCTGCCACCTGCCCAGCTGTCAGGCTCTGATCTCAAATTAGAATTAGGCCTCTCATCTCTGCTCTGTTTTGAATCTGAGAGGCCTCCCCCGCCCTTCAGCTGCAGCCTTGTGACCAGGAACAGAGCATTCTCTGCGGCCTGGAGGTCTTCATCAGGGAAGGGGGAAGCCACCCAGGCAGGCGGCTTGTATTGATTACATGTGTCCCCGCCCCTACGCCCCGAAGCCAGACACTGTGCTTGTGAGTTGTTACCTAGGTGATATTCATTCTCCGCTGCATCCCTGGGCAGGAAGCGGGATGCTCGCCTCTGTGGCAGGCGGAGGAGGTGAGGCTCAGCGAGGAGAAGGACACGGGGACGGCTGCAGGGTGGGAACCAGCTCTCTCTGCATCGCAGTTGAGAGCAGCTGGAGCTCATTGTCTCTCCCAAGGACCGAGGGGGATTTCCAGCTGCTGAGCTGCTTGCCAGGGACTTGCTTTTTTCTTTCACAGCTTCCCTGTTTGGTCTGCAAATTCTGTCCTTTTTTCCCCAAGCCTGGTCCCAACTAGGTGATGCCTCCTCCCCTCTTTTTTCTTCTTTAAATTCCAGAACAGGAGAGTGGGGGCAATTCTGTCCATTCTTCCATCCGGCCTCAGATTTTCAGGCAGGTATTCAAGATATTAAATAAAAAGTCAGCCGGATGCAGTGGCTCACACCTGTAATCCCAGCACTTTGGGAGGCCAAGGCAGGTGGACCATTTAAGGCCAGGAGCTTGAGACCAGCTTGGCCAACATGGTGAAACCCTGTCTCTGCTAAAAGTACAAAAATTAGCCGGGCGTCGTGACAGGTGCTTGTAGTCCCAGCTGCTTGGGAGGCTGAGGCAGGAGAATCGCTTGAACCTGGGAGGTGGAGGTTGCAGTGAGCCGAGATCGTGCCACTGTGCTCCAGCCTGGGTGACAGAGCAAGACTCTGTCTCAAAAAAAAAAAAAGTAATTTCTTATCAAATGCTATTGCTTTTCTATTTTGACCATTGATGTTGTAATAATATTTGTCAGCTGTTCATTACACTTGTTCAGAAATTCTGGAGTGTTGTGGGTTAACTGGCCCTTGATGGACAAGCCCCAATATCTAAATAAAATAACATTGTTGCAGTGGGAAAATGTGTTTTGACTATACCTTGGAATATAACTTAGTTGGAAATTGGGGCTGCCATAATTTTTACATTTTTAAAATTTTTTTATATTTTTGAGATAGAGTTTCCCTTTGTTGCCCAGGCTGGAGTGCAGTGGCATGATCTCGGCTCACTGCAACCTCCACCTCCCAGGTTCAAGCGATTCTCCTGCCTCAGCCTCCCGAGTAGCTGGAATTACAGGCGTCTGCCACCACGTCCGGCTAATTTCTTGTATTTTTAGTAGAGATGGGGTTTCACCATGTTGGCCAGGCTGGTCTCGAACTCCTGACCTCAGGTGACCCGTCTGCCTCTGCCTCCCAAAGTGCTGGGATTACAGGCGTGAGCCACCACACCTGGCCTTAATTCTTAACAAATTCAAATCAGCTACATCTTGGGTAGGATTCTTCCCCTTGTTTACCTGGCCAGTAGTCCGCAGCTTACGGGCTGTCCCAGGCATGAAGTGGGGTAAGGTCTGGGGCTGTGGCAGTGCATGAGAGGTGCTCAGTAATACCCCCTTGCTGCCCCCCACCCCGGACTGTGCTGAGCGCTCATGTCTCAGTCTTGAAACCCCAGTTTCCTCATCTGTGAACTAGGGTGACTGTCCTGGAGTTGCCTTGCCTGCCTCCTAGGAGGGCTGGGAGATACTGAGCAGGGAGTGGGAAGGACTTTCTATGCTGAAGACACAGAGTACAATTTACTAAACACAGGGCCCACAGCTCCTCTGGATTAATCTGTTTTCGAAGAGAGATGTCTCCAGCCCCCAAGTCCTGGAATCTTTGTAGAGGGTCAGCTCTGAGCTCATGGAGCCAGACCCTGCCCACCCAGCTCTAGAGGCTGCAGTTGCAGTGAGAAACGAATCCGCCCTCACCTCCTTCGCCTGCAGCCAGCCCCCCAGCACTCCGGTCTCAGGTGCTGGCGGGCGGGAGGTGAGGGCTGTGACGGTGGCACGAACGTGGCACTCCCGGGTGAGCGAACGCCACTTTGCTTCGGGTCCTAGGGTTCCTTGTCCCTGGTGTTCCTCCCTTTGTCTCCTGTACTCTGGGGGTGGAGGGCCTTGATCCTGGCTTCCCAGGTGGCTGGTGACTCCCCTAGGATGGACGTTTCCCATGGCCTGCAGTCACCACCCACCTACCTTGGACAGGGGCAGGTGCAGGGCTGCCCCTCTGCTATGCGGGGTTTCCAGTGCATAATAGCCTCTGGCCATGGCCTGGCAGCCGCCCCCCACCCCATTCCCCGCCCAGAGGACTTTCTATTTTAATAGTTAAGCATTTATTTAATGAGTATTAGGAAAAAATAGAGCTAACTCAAAAGAGGCCTGGACTAGAATGGAAGGATTTGGAGACAGTTTATTTATTTATTTATTTATTTATTTATTTATTTATTTTATTATTATTATTATTTTAGAGATGAAGGGCTTGCTCCCAGGCCGGAATGTGAAGGAGAGACCATGGCTCCCTGCAGCCTCCACCTCCCAGGCTCAAGCCATCCTCCTGTCTCAGCCTCCAGAGCAACTAGGACTACAGGTGCACCACCCTGCCCAACTGATTTGTTTAATTTTAATTTTTTTGTAGAGAGGGGGTTTTCATCATGTTGCCCAGGCCAGTCTTGAACTCCTGGCCTCAAGCAATCCTTCCACTTTGACCTCCCAAAGTGCTGGAATTACAGGCCTAGGCCATTGTGCCTGGTCCTAGAGACAGGAGATTTTTGTTTTGTTTTGTTTTGTTTTGTTTTGTTTTTGATGGTGTCTTGCTCTGTCGCCCAGGCTGGAGTGCAGTGGCTCAATCTCGGCTCACTGCAACCTCCGCCTCCCGGGTTCAAGCCATTCTTTTGCCTCAGTCTCCTGAGTAGCTGGGATTACAGGCACCCGCCACCACGCCTGGCTAATTTTTGTATTTTTAGTAGAGACGGGGTTTCGCCATGTTGGCCAGGCTGGTCTCAAACTCCTGACCTCGTGATCCACCCGCCTCGGCCTCCCAAAGTGCTGGGATTACAGGCGTGAGCCACCACACCCAGCCAGGAGACAGGAGCTTTTCAAATGGATCCACTCAAAGGAACGAGAAGGGCTGCGTGTTGGATCTTTCGCAGATGCGCTGGGCTGTTCAGTGAAGCACTTGTTTATACAGTGAAGACTGATTGGGGATTGGCGGGTGAGGGATGGCAGCAGGGAGAACCAGGCCAACTCATGTCTGCAGAGGCCTGACAGGCTGGGCTGCCACAGGGTCCTCGAGTGCGGAGGAGGAGTAACATTTGCTCACAGGCTGAGGTTCTTTTAACCACAGGTTGGCCTGGAACTGGTCTCCTGTTACAGGCCTCTAACATGTAAGCCGGTGATAGGGAAGAAGGATTTGAGTCAAAGGAAAGCTATAAACTCCACAACTACACACACCCGCCCAGACACAGACACAGTCCTCACCACAACCGCCCAGCACACACCGCCACGAATGCTGGACCTTCCTACTGAGGCAGGTGTTTGTCCCGGGGCCTCTTTTAGAACACACAGGGTGTGTTGGAGTGACTCATTGTTCTGTCCTGTCCCTCTGCCTTTGTTCTATTGTCACCCATAAATTTTTTTTTTTTTTTTGAGACAGAGTCTCGCCCTGTCGCCTAGGCTGGAGTGCAGTGGCATGATCTCGGCTCACTGCAACCTCCGCCTCCTGGGTTCACGCCATTCTCCTGCCTCAGCCTCCCAAGTAGCTGGGACTACAGGCATGTGCTACCACGCCCAGCTAATTTTTGTATTTTTAGTAGAGACGGGGTTTCACCGTATTAGCCAGGATGGTCTCGATCTCCTGACCTCGTGATCCACCTGCCTCGGCCTCCCAAAGTGCTGGGGTTACAGGCGTGAGCCACCGTGCCTGGCCATGTCACCCATAAAGTTTAATAGCATGAAGTTTCATATGAGCCTGTGGTTGCCAGAGATGTAAACATTGGTTCAAATAAAACTAACAAAGGTGCACTTGTTTGTTTGTTTGTTTTGAGGCTAAGTCTCGCTCTGTCATCCAGACTAGAGTGTGTAGTGGTGCGATCTCGGCTCACTGCAACCTCTGCCTCCCGGGCTCAAGCAATTCTCCTGCCTCGGCCTCCCGAGTAGCTGGGATTACAGGTGCCCACGACCATGCCCAGCTAATTTTTGTATTTTAGTAGAGATGGGGTTTTGCCATGTTGGCCAGGCTGGTCTCGAACTCTTGGCCTCAAGTGATCTGCCTGCCTTGGCCTCCCAAAGTGCTGGGATTACAGATGTGAGCCACTGCGCCCGGCCTCTCATTTTCCCCATCTGTCTAGTAGGGTTGATTACTCCTGCCCCACCTGGTAGGATCCCACCTGTAATCTTAGCATGTTGAGAAGTCAAGGTGGGCGGATCACTTGAGCCCAGGAGTTTGAGGCCAGGCTGGACAACATGGAGAAACCCCATCTCTACCAAAAACACAAAAATTAGCCAGGCATTGAGTGCGTGCCTGGAGTCCCAGCTACTCAGGAGGCTGAGGTGGGAGGCTCACCTGAGCTCTGGAAGTTGAGGCTACAGTGAGCTGTGATTGCACCACTGCACTCCAGCCTGCCCGATGGCGTGAAATCCTGTCAGAAAAAACAAGAAACAAATAAACAAACAAACAAAAAAAAAAAAAAAAAAGGAAAGAAAAAGAAAAAAGAAGCTGAGGCTCAGGTAAGCTGCTCAGGCCACCAGACTAAGGCAGTTAAAGATGGCATCCAGACCCCTGAAAGGAGGCCAAGCTAAAGATTGGTTTGGGCAACGGGTGGTTACTTCTGGCAGACAACAGAAAAGGAACAAGTAAGAGAAGGAAAGAGTAGGGTCTTGTCTCTGTCCCATAAAAGCAGCCTCAGAAGAAGTGGACTCAGATAATTCACAGCAGAGGCTCAGGGAGGGAGAGGAAGCCTGGGAGGGGTACCCGTATTGGTGAGGGCTGGAGGAGGCCACAGATGGTGGTTACAGTTGGTTGAGAGATAAAGATTTCTGATATTCGTTAAGAGAAACCTCAAAACCCTTCAGTTCCAGAAACTGGCGTCCTGTTCTAGAGATGATTCAATTATCTTTTCTAACCTCATGGGGGAAAAAGAAGCAAAGAGTTTCTCAAGTCAATTCTATTCTTTTTTTTTTTTTTTTGGGACAGAGCCTTGCCGTGTCATCCAGGCTGGAGTGCGATGGCGCGATCTCGGCTCACTGAAACCACTGCCTCCTGGGTTCAAGCAATTCTCCCATGTCAGCCTTCAGAGTAGCTGGGACTACAGGCACCCACCACCACGCCCGGCTAATTTTTGTATTTTTAGTAGAGATGGGGTTTCACCATATTGGCCAGGCTGGTCTCGAACTCCTGACCTCAGGTGATCCACCCGCCTCGGCCTCCCAAAGTGCTGGGATTGCAGGCATGAGCCATTGTGTCCGGCCACTTCTATTCTTTTTAATAGGAGGGAATAGTAGCTGTAATTCACCCAGTCTGTGCTGTGCTGTGAGAACACTGCTAAGAGCCACCTGTATTGGCTCATTGAATCTCTCAGCCACCTGCAGAGGCTTTGACGATTGTCTCCGAAATATAATTGGGGATTAAAATTGGCACCAAGCACTCAAGTAACTAGCTGAAGGCCGCTGAGGAGATGGGCGGCAGAGCTGAGGTTTGGCCTGGGCAGTTTGCTGCAGACCTGGTTGTAAAGCCCAAGCTGCTTCCCCTGGGCACAGCTCCACCGTGCTAAGCCCAGAGTGTGCCTCTGTGAGGTCATGGCTGCCGACCTTCAGAAGACCCCTGCGACCTAAAGTTTGCTTTTATTTTGAAATAGATACTTTTTTTTTTCCTGATTTATACAAGTAAAACACGGCTGGTCGCATTGGCCCACGCCTGTAATCCCAGCACTTTGGGAGGCCGAGGTGGATGGATCACCTGAGGTGAGGAGTTCGAGACCAGCCTGGCTAACGTGGCGAGACCTTGTCTCTATTAAAAATACAAAAATTAGCTAGGTGTGGTGGCACATGCCTGTAATCCCAGCTACTTGAGAGACTGAGGCAGGAGAATTGCTTGAACCCAGGAGGCAGATGTTGCAATGAGCCAAGATCGCGCCACTGCACTCCACTCCGGGCGACAGAGCAAGATTCCATCTTAAAAAAAAAAAAAAAGTAAAACACATATATTTCAGAAATTTTTTAAAGTACAGAAAAACACAAAGAGGAAAAGTAAAATCCTCTGTAATCCCACAGCCCAGAACTAAGCACTGTTAACATCTGGGGACCTCCTTCTAGTCGTTCCTCTTGCTGTCAACATGCATATTTAGTAAAAGTCGCCATCACACCATTCTGTAATTTTTAAACAGCCTTATTGAGATCTAATTGTCTAAAATAGATATTGAAAATATACAATTTGATAAGTTCTGACATATGTATACATCTGTGAAGCCACCACTGCAATCAAGATGCTGAAGCTAAGCTGGGGGCCGTGGCTGACGTCTTGAATTCCAGTTACTCGGGGGCTGAGGCAGGAGGATTGCTTGAGGCCAGGAGTTCGAGACCAGCCTCAGCAACATAGTGAGACCCCCCCCCACCCCCCGCCCCCATCGCTTAAAAGAAAAACCAAACAAAAAGATGCTGACAATCTGTCACCCCCGAATGTCTCCTCAGGCCCCTTTGGTAACCCTTCCCTCGCTGCTCTCCCTTCCCAGTGTGGACATCCAGAACTCAGAGACTTTTGGCTAGGATCACAGGTCTGGGTAGCAGGCACCTGGCCCGGGGGCTGGCCTAAGCTCTGTCTCCTGGCCAGGATGTGCTTCAGGGAGAACCAACAATATCGCCTTGTGCAGGCCAAAGGGTGCGTTTGATTTTGTCAGTTTCCTCCGGCAGCTCAGCTAACTCCCCACGAGTCGGCTTCCTTCCCCGCAGCCCCGTCATGGAACCTTCCAGTTCGCTAAAGGGGGTTCCACCCTGAGTGGGCTCTGCAGCCTTGTCTGGGCCAGTTGCTGGGGCCCCCGTGTGGCTCGTATAATGGGTGCGTGTTGCCCCTCCAGGTGGAGTTGGAGCTGGGGCGGAGCCTGCCCGCGTGTTGGGGTGTGCAGCAGGCTGCCTTGGAGCACCTGACTCGTTTTTAGCCGCTTTTAATGGGTGTCTTTCTGCATCCTGTTACTCATGCACTTCAGTGAGCAGAGTTTCCTGAGTGTAATTTCATCTTTTCTCTATGACTCAGGGCTGTATTTGCAGCCTAATTTGCTAATGTCAGGTGGCAGATGGAGTGAACAGTGTGGGTGGACGGGGCCAGCCCCAGCAGTGCCACTGGAACTTACTTTCCTGCAAAGACCACATGCTTCAGCTGGTCTTTTTGGCTGTGTTCTCCAGCCTCCGGAGGCAGAATGGAGGTTGGGTTTCTGCCTGGCCTACTGGCAGCCTATGACGCTACCAACTGATTAGCAAATCAAAGGCCAAAGCAGCCTTCTCTTAAACGGCTTTGTCACCCTCCAGCAAATCAGCATCGCAGACTCTCTTACTTGTACATTGTTTCACAGTTCTGGACACTTTCACACGCATTTTCTCCTTTGAGCTTCAGAACGCCCCTGTGAGAAAAGCAGGCAATTGTTCCTTTCCCAGTTTAGATCTGACTACACAGCAGGCTCCAAAATCAATGCCAGGTCCATTAACGACCTGACAGGCAGAATACCAACCCTTACAAAGCGAGTATAGGATAATATCTCTTGACCTTGGGGGTACAAAGAATTTCTTGAAAGCACTAATTGTTAAGAAAAAGATGAATAAATTCTACTAATTTTAAAAGGGAAAAGAAAAAAGAAAAGCTCTGTTCATCAGAGGATGCGACGAATAAAGCTTTAGAAAGACCAATGCAGGATCAGAGTCCAGAGTACATAAAGAACTCCTAGAAATAAATAAGAAAAAAGACCAGGAAAACCCGACCAGGTGTTTTGCAAAACAGGAAATATACATTGTCCATCAACATGTAAAAGATGCTTAACTTTATTAGAAATAAAGAAAACGCAAAATAAAGCCACTAGGAAATACCATTCTATAACCATCAGATTGGCAAAGATAAAAAGAATGGCAGTTCCTTCGGGCTGGGTGTGTTGGCTCATGCCTGTAATCCCAGCAATTTGGGAGGCTGAGGCAGGAAGATCGCTTGAGCCCAGGAGTTTGAGACCACCCTGGGCAACACAGTGAGAACTCATCTCTACAAAAAGCACAAAAATTAGTCAGGCATGGTGGCACATACCTGTGGTCCCAGCTACTTGGGAGGCTGAGGCGGGAGGATCACTTGAGCCTGGGAGGACGAGGCTGCAGTGAGCCAAGATCATGCCACCATGATCCAGCCTGGGTGGCAGAGTGAGATCCTGTCTCAAAAACATTTTTTTAAAATAATAAATTAAAAAAACAAAACAAAACTGCAGGGCGGGGTGCAGTGGCTTGCGCCTGTAATCCCAGCACTTCGGGAGGCCGAGGTGGGCGGATCATGAGGTCAAGAGATTGAGACCATCCTGGCCAACATGGTTAAACCTCGTCTCTACTAAAAACACAAAAATTAGCTGGGCGTGGTGGCGGGAGCCCGTAGTCCCAGCTGCTTGGGAGGCTGAGGCAGGAGAATCGCTTGAACCCGGGAGGCAGAGGTTTCAGTGAGCCAAGATCACACCACTGCACTCCAGCCTGGGCAACAGGGTGAGACTCCATCTCTCAAAAAAAAAAAAAAAAAAAAAAAAAAGACTGGAGTTTCAAGTGTTAACAAGAATGTAGGACACAGGGAACTCTGCCTGCCCACTGGCAAGCGTGTAAGTTCCACCCCGTTGAGTAGCAATTAGACTTATCTTGATGAGTTGTTATTGCTCTGATCTGGGCTGCACAGTTAAGACTTACCTTTGCCCTCTTTGACCCAAGTGCAGCTCCACTCCTACGGCACAGTTTGCAGGGAGGTTCGGGGCAGCACAGTTTGCAATTTCAAAACAACAATAAAACCTGTAAGCAAACCATATAACTTTTCAAAGTAAAATGGATAAATTGTGGGATATCATATAATAGAACATGACAGAGAAAATGAATGAGCCTCGGCTTCACTCATTAACAAATGAATTTCAAGAACATGACATGGAATGGTGTCTTTATTTTTTGGGGCTGCTGTAACAAAGTACCGCACACTGGGTGGCTGGACAGCAGAAACGTGTTGTCTCCCAGTTCTAGGGGCGAGGAGATCAGGGTGCCGACAGGGCCACGTTCCCTGGGAAGGCGTGGGAGGAGGACCTGTTCCCCGCCTCTCTCCCGGCTTCGTCCGGAAGCCTGACTCCAGGCTTCATGTGGTGTTCTCCCTGCTGGTGGCTCTGCCTCTGTCCTGTGTTCTGCTTGTTATAAGGACACCAGTCGTATCGAATGAGGGTCCACTCTAATGAGTGCCTCTCACCTTGAGCACCTCTGTAAAGACGGTGTCTGCAAACGGGGTCACGGCTTAAAGTATTAGGGGTTAAGACTCCAACATATCTTTTTTGGAGGGACAGAATTTAATCCATAAATGTTTAAAAGTAGTAGAATACACAAAATGTGATACCATTAGCATAAAGTTTAAGGATACGTACATACATAACCGTCTAATGAAAAGGAAGGGAATGATAAAGGCTAGGTTTGGAATGTGACTCCTCTCGGGTTGAGGGAGGGAAAGGTGACTGGGGCTTCCCATGCCTGGGCATTCGTCTAGTTCTTTTTTTTTTTTTCCCCAAGACAGGGTCTCACTCTGTCGCCCAGGCTGGAGTGCAGTGGTGCGATCTCAGCTCACTGCAAGCACCGCCTCCCGGGTTCACGCCATTCTTCTGCCTCAGCCTCCCGGGTAGCTGGGACTACAGGCGCCTGCCACCACGCCCGGCTAATTTTTGTATTTTTAGTAGAGACGTGGTTTCACCGTGTTAGCCAGGATGGTCTCGATCTCCTGACCTCATGATCCGCCCGCCTCGGCCTCCCAAAGTGCTGGGATTACAGGCGTGAGCCACCGCGTCCGGCCATCTATTTCTTAAGCTCAATGGCAGATGCATAGGTTTGTTTTAATATTCTTGATAACATAAAACATACCAGTTAATGGAAAGTAGGGGGCATAGTGGGGGGTCTGCACAGTCAGCCCGGAGGATTCAACCTGGTGGTGGGTCTGGAATTTAAAAGGTATAAAAAAATTTTGTCCAGGCGCGGTGGCTCACGCCTGTAAACCCAGCACTTTGGGAGGCCGAGGCGGGCGGATCACCTGAGGTCAGGGATTTGAGACCAGCCTGGCCAACATGGCAAAAATTTGTCTCTACTAAAAATAGAAAAATTAACCAGGTGCGGTGGCACATGCCTGCAATCCCAGCTACTTGGGAGGCTGAGGCCGGAGAATCGCTTGAACCCAGGAGGTAGAGCTTGCAGTGAGCTGAGATGGTGCCACTGCACTCCAGCCTGGGCAACAGAGCGGGACTTCATCTCAAAAAATAAATAAATAGATAAAAGTTATAAAAACATTTTTAAAATAAAACATTAAAAAAACCACGTTATGGCAAAGCACGATGGCTCACACCTGTAATCTCAGCACTTTGGGAGGCTGAGATGGGTATATATATGTATATAACGTGTTATTTTTATTTAGGGAGTAATTTATAAGTGAAGATTTATTTATTTATTTATTTATTTATTATTTTTGAGACAGAGTCTTGCTCTGTGGCCCAGGCTGGAGTGCAGTGGCACGATCTCGGCTCACTGCAACCTCTGCCTCCCGGGTTCAAGTGATTCTCCTGCCTCAGCCTCCTGAGTAGCTGCGATTACAGGTGCCTGCCACCATGCCCAGCGAATTTTTGTGTTTTAGTAGAGACAGGGTTTCACCATGTTGGCCAGGCTGGTCTTGAACTCCTAACCTCAAGTGATCTGCTCGCTTCGGCCTCCCAAAGTGCTGGGATTACAGGCATGAGCCACTGCGCTCAGCCTAATAAGTGCAAATTTAAATAAAGAATCAGAGAAAAGAAGTGTAGACAACGCTTCGGAGCCATTTTGCTGCAGAGAGAAGGAAGGCAGCGGGTGACGGCTGGAGGAGGATGAGGGAAGCTTCCCTCTTTTGCACGTGAAGCACTAGGTTCAGAGGTTAAGTGACTCACGCAGGCTCACACAGCCAGCCTGGCTCAGCCTGGAATGGCACCCATGCCTCTGACCCCCAGCACTTTCCTGCCCTAGAGGTGCTGCCTCTTTCTTGTGGTCATTATCAGGGTCATCGGATGCTGCCCCTGCATCCGAGGTAGGGTTGGTCTCCCCTGCTCCTACCAGAGCTCCAAGAGTCCCAGAGCCTTGGAGTGAGAAAGGCCCACCCTGTGACCCCTCAACACACTTGTTAGAACATCCTTCTTGCTCGTCTCTTGCTGTGCTATGAGATCAGCTTCCAGAAGTGGGAGTGATGGCGCATCTCTGGTTTAATGCATGCTTATGTGTGTTGCAGAGCTATCGTGCTGTGTAACGGGAACGCTGCAGCCACTGGGCATTGGGTGGTCAGCCGGGGTAGGGGCCTGACTCTGCCATTTGCTCAGTTTGACCCTTGGTCAAGTTCTTCACCTTTTCGGAGGCTCATCTGCAAAAGGGGGCTAATGCCTGCTCCCAGGATGGTACCGAGGACTGAGCGAGCCCAGCAGGGGGGCTGCCTGCCACACAGCAGGCGCCGAGTGAACGAGTGAACGCAGGGGTTTTTCCCGGGCCCCGCCACCACTCCGTTTCTTTCACAGGCAAGTCTGGGTCTCATTGACCTCTCTGGGACCAAGTGCAGACCACCCACCACACACCGCCCCACTGGCTGAGGAGACTAGGACACGGTTTTCTTTTTCTTTTGAATGTTCCCATAGGTTATTGGGGTACGGGTGCTATTTGGTCACATGAGTAAGTTCTTTCGTGGTGATTTGTGAGATTTGGGTGCAACCATCACCCAAGCACTATACGCTGCACTCTATTTGTAGTCTTTTATCCCCCGACCCCCTCCCACCCTTCCCCGCAAGTCCCCAAAGTTAGGACCTGGTTTTCTGAGTTTAGGAGACAGGGTCGCAGCCACTGCCCTGGAGAGAGTTTTACTGGCTCCTGTGAGTGCCAGGATGTGGGCATGAGACAGCTGACACTCAGGCTGAGTCCAAAGATGGCCCCAACTGACCCCACAGCTGTCCTGGAACCTGCTGCTTGGTCCAGTGAACCACAGAATTTGCTGTGGGCTGTTAAGCCAGCCATTACTCCCTGGGGTGATGGACCAAGCCAGTTCCAGCTCAGTCTGTCCATCAAGAAACGGGAATAGCTGATGCCATGTGTGGCCCTCATTTTTCTGCTTCATAAAATGAAAGAGTGGGAGGAGGCAATCTCTAAGCCTCTTCCTGCAACAGAAATTGAGTTTTTTTGTAAATTTTCTTTCTCTCTCTTTCTTTTCTTTTTGTTCTTTCTTTCTCTCTCTCTGCCTCTCTCTCTCTCTCTCTTCCTTTCAACAGAGTCTCTCTCTGTCACCTAGGCTAGAGTGCAGTGGTGCAATCACAGCTCACTGCAGCCTCAACCTCACGGGCTCAGGTGATCCTCCCACCTCAGCCTCCCAAGTAGGTGGTACTACAGGCGCATGCCACCATGCCCAGTGAATTTTTGTATTTTTTGTAGAGACAAGATTTCACCATGTTGCCTAGGCTGGTCTTGAACTCCTGGGCTCAAGTGATCCACCTGCCTCAGCCCCCCAGAGTTCTGGGATTATAGGTGTAAGCTGCTATACCCGGCCTTAAGATGTCATTTGAGGGCCGGGCGAGGTGGCTCAAGCCTGTAATCCCAGCCCTTTGGGAGGCCAAGGCAGGTGGATCACTTGAGGTCAGGAGTTTGAGACCAGCCTGGCCAACATGGTGAAACCCCATCGCTACTAAAAATACAAAAATTAGCTGGATGTGGTGGTGCATGCCTGTAATCCCAGTTACTTGGGAGGCTGAGGCAGGAGAATTGCTTGAACACAGGAGGTGGAGGTTGCAGTGAGCCGAGATCACGCCATTGTACTCCATCCTGAGTGACAAGGGCGAAACTCTGTCTCAAAAAAAAAAAAAAAAAAAAGATTTCATTTGAGCCTACAGAGTTAGCCCATATGGACACGGGGGCCCCATTTTGCTTACATTCCAGAACTTTTCGTTCGCCAGCACTTACGGGAGTCGAATCTAGCCAAAGTCAAAGGAGAGAAAGTCTGGGGCCTTAGAAGCCTGGAGGGGACAGAGCACAGAGCACAGAGCACTGGGCCAGACGCGGCCCTGTCATCAGGAGGGCCCGATCCGTACGTGCCCCTGGCCTCAAGACACTCAGTCTTTGACTCGGTGAAATGTCTTGTGGGAAATCACCCTAAGGAAATGATCAGAAATATGGATAACAGGGCGGGGTGTGGTGGCTCACACCTGTAACCCCAGCGCTTTTGGAGGCCAAGGCGGGCGAATCACCTGAGGTCAGGAGTTCGAGAAATATGGATAACAGTATATACATAAGGATGTACATCACAGTATTGTTTAAAACACGGAAAAACTTTAAACGACCTAAATGTTCAGAAATAGAAGATTAGTTGAACATTATGTCCATATGATCAAATACCAGGAAGCCACTAAAAATCATATTACAGGAGATTTTAGAAATACTTATAATACATGAAGTGAGAAAGTAGTGTACATAACTGTAGTTATTGAACTGATCTGAATTATAGATGGCTGGAGATAGGTACACACCTGTGTGTGTTCCAAATACAGGAGGAAATAGAGTATACATAACTATAGCTATTGAACTGATCTGAATTATAGATGGCTGGAGATAGGTACACACCTGTGTGTGTTCCAAATACAGGAGGAAATAGAGTATACATAACTATAGCTGTTGAACTGATCTAAATTATAGATGGCTGGAGAGAGGTACACACCTGTGTGTGTTCCAAATACAGGAGGAAATAGAGTATACATAACTATAGCTGTTGAACTGATCTGAATTATAGATGGCTGGAGAGAGGTACACACCTGTGTGTGTTCCAAATACAGGAGGAAGTAGATCATGTCTTTAGCAGCAGTTGTCTCTGGGTAGTAGAGTTACAGGTACTTTTATTTCTTTATGAGTATTTATGTATAATATAAGAGAGATATTACATCTTTGCCTCTTTGGATTTTTCTTTTCTTTTCTTTTCTTTTGAGATGGAGTTTCGCTCTTCTTGCCCAGGCTGGAGTGCAGTGGCGCGATCTCAGCTCACCGCAACCTCCACCTCCCAAGTTCAAGCGATTCTCCTGCCTCAGCCTCCCGAGTAGCTGGGATTACAGCTGGCTAATTTTGTATTTTTAGTAGAGACAGGGTTTCTCATGTCAATCAGGCTGGTCTCGAACTCCCGACCTCAGGTGATCCGCCCGCCTCAGCCTCCCAAAGTGCTGGGATTACAGGTGTGAGCCATCACACCCAGCCCTCTTTCGGTTTTCCTATACATTCAAGATTTTTATTTATTAATTATTATATTTATTTTTTTTTTTTTTGAGACAGGTTCCCACTGTTGCCCAGGCTGGAGTGCAGTGGCAGGATCTCAGCTCACTGCAACCTCTGCCTCCCCGGCTCACGCAATTCTCGTGCCTCATCCTCCTGAGTAGCTGGGATTACAGGCATGTGCCACCATGCTTGTCTAATTTTTGTATTTTTAGTAGAGACAGGGTTTTACCATGTTGGCCAGGCTGGTCTCGAACTCCTGGCCTCAAGGAATCTGCCTGCCTTGGCCTCCCAGTGTTGGGATTACAGGCATTAGCTACTGCGCCTGGGCCATTTATTTATATTTATTTATTTTCCCAGGCTGGAGTGCAGTGGTGCAATTACAGCTCACTGCGTCCTTGACCTCCTGGGCTCAGGCGGTCCTTCCACTTCAGCTTCCCTAGTAGCTGGGACTACAGGCGTGCACTACCATGCCCAGCTAATTTTTATGTTT
This sequence comes from Homo sapiens, assembly GCF_000001405.40. Taxonomy (NCBI): domain Eukaryota; kingdom Metazoa; phylum Chordata; class Mammalia; order Primates; family Hominidae; genus Homo; species Homo sapiens. The sequence goes on along the minus strand of NC_000003.12, from coordinate 196,172,082 downwards.
TATTTTTTGTAGAGGCAGGGTCTTGCTATGTTGCCTAGGCTGGTCTCAAACTCCTGGCCTCAGGTGATCCTCCCCCCTTGGCCTCCTAAAGTGCTGAGTTTACAGGCATGAGTCACTGTGCCTGGGCTCACGATTTTTAATAAATATTTTTTTATATACAGAAAACAAAAGTCATTAAACTTACAACATTTTTAACTGCGGTAAAATACACATAACATAAAATGTACTATCTTAGTCATTTCTAAGTGTACAGATCAGTAGCATTAAGCTCATTCACATTGTTGTGTAACCATCACCCCATCCATCTCCAGAAGTCTCGCTCTTGCAAAACTGCAATGTGGGCCAGGTGCGGTGGCTCACGCCTGTAATCCCAGCACTTTGTGAGGCTGAGGCGGGCGGATCACCTGAGGTTGGGAGTTCGAGACCAGCCTGGCCAACATGGTGGAACTCCCCCATCTCTAGTAAAAATACAAAAATTAGCCAGGCGTGGTGGTGCGTGCCTGTAATTCCAGCTACTCGGGAGGCTGAGGCAGGAGAACCGCTCCAACCTGTGAGGCAGAGGTTTCAGCGAGCTGAGATCGCACCACTGCTCTCCGGCCTGGGTGACAGAGGGAGGCTCTGTCTCAAAACCACCCCCCAAAAACAAAAAAACTGCCATGTTACACCCATTGAACAATAACTCCTTGTTTCCCTCTCCTCCCAGCCCTGACAACCACTTTTTTCTTTCTGTTTGTGGGAATTTGATTACTCGTATAAGTGGAATCATACAATATTTGTCTTTTTTGTAGCTGGCTTATTTCGCTTAGCATAATGTTCTCAAGGCTTATCCACGTTGCAGCATGTGTCAGAATATCCTTCCTTTTTAAGGCTGCATAATATTCCATTTTGTGCATATAACCCATTTGGTTCATCCGTTTGTCCGTCCGTGAAGCTTGAGTTGCTTCCATCTTTTTGCTCTTGTGGTAATGCTGTGTGAGTGTGGGCGTGCAAATACTGCTCTGAGACTCTGCTTTCAGTTGTTTGGGGCATATACCCGGAAGCGGGATTGCGAGATTGTTTGGTAATTGTCTGTTTAATGTTTTGAGGAGCCTCCCACCACACTGGTTTCCACAGCGGCTGCGCCATTTGATTCTGCACCAGCGATGCACCGGGCGCAGTTTCTCCGCATCCTCCCCGATACTTCTTAGTTCCTGTTTTTGTTGTTGTTTTAACAGTAGCCAAAAAATGTCATTTAAAAATTTTTATGGCCAGGAGTGGTGGCTCACACCTTTAATCCCAGCACTTTGGGAGGCCGAGGCGGGTGGATCATTTGAGGTCAGGAGTTTGAGATTAGCCTGACCAACAAGGCAAAACCCCATCTCTACTAAAAATACAAAAAAATGAGCGAGTGTGGTGGCGGGCGCCTGTAATCCCAGCTACTCAGGAGGCTGAGGCAGGAGAATCGCTTGAACCCAGGAGGGAGAGGTTGGAGTGAGCCGAGATCGCGCCACCGCACTCCAGCCTTGGTGACAGCGTGAGACCCTGTCTCAAAAAAAAAAAAAATTATTTATTTATTTTGCGACAGGGTCTTGCTCTGTTGCCCAGGCTGGAGTGCGGTGGTGTGATCAGAGCTCACTGCAGCCTCAAACTCTCAGGCCCAAACGATCCTCCCACTTCAGCCTTCGGAGTAACTGGGACTCCAGGCATGCACCACTATGTCTGGCTAAGTTTTTAATTTTTTTTTTTTTTTTTTTTGGAGAGACAGGTTCTCATTGCATTGCCCAGGCTAGTCTCCAACTCCTGGGTCCAAGCCGTCCTCCTGCCTCAGCCTCCTAAAGTGCTGGGATGACAGGTGTGCACCATCAGGCCTGGCCCAGTGGCTCCCCTCTCTTTCCCTGGCCTCTGAACCTTCTGCTGGTGGTTTGTGGTGAGGCAGATGACATAGCGAGGGACAGGCCACTGTCAACAGCCCCAAGCCAATCCTGGGTGGCTCTTTCTCATGCTGGGGAAGTTGCCGTCCATCCTGGCTTGTGGAAATCCACAGTCACCCTCCTGATGACAGTCACCAGACAGGAACAATTCTCCTCACACAGAAATAGGGAGCCGTGACGCATGGTCAGCAGCTTGGATGAGGCCTGAGGGCCCAACTCCCACAGGGTCTGCCCTGAGCCTGCCTCTCCCAGAGGGACAGCACCTGACCTCCTGGGGTCATGGAATAGCGGCACCCAGGGCCAGCTGCATGGGTCAGTGGCCTGTGTGGTGGTACAGGGCGCCATGCTCAGAGGGCCCTACATTTGGCTTAATGCCCTACTATCACTGAAATTATTATTATTATTATTTTTTTGATAAGGAGTTTCGCTCTCGTTGCCCAGGCTGGAGTGCAGTGGCGCAATCTCGGCTCATGGCAACCTGCGCCTCCCGGGTTCAAGCGATTCTCCTGCCTCAGCCTCCCAAGTAGCTGGGATTACAGGCATGCACCACCACGCCCAGCTAATTTTGTATTTTTAGTAGAGACGGGGTTTCTCCATGTTGGTCAGGCTGGTCTCGAACTCGTGACCTCAGGTGATCAGCCGGCCTCGGCCTCCCAAAGTGCTGGGATTACAGGCGTGAGCCGCCGCGCCTGGCCTATTACCAAGATTCTTAATAACTTTTTGAAAAAGGGGCCCCATAAGTTCTGTAGCTGGTCCTGGTGACACCCCTTCCGCAGTAGCCCCAGAGGACTGCATGCCAAGCCCATGCCACACCCAGGTGGCCTCTGCTGTCTCTGAAGTCCCAGCATTTTGAACGTATGGCTCACATCTCTCACTACCCTGCCTTGTTTTAGAGTTCTTTGCCTGCAGGTGCCATTCTGCAGTGAGACTCTGAACTCCCAGAGGGCCAGGGCCAGCCTCTGAGCAGCAGGGTGCCTGGCTCCTGGACGGTGTTCAACAAATGTTAGCTGAAGTAACTACTGAAGACTTCATGCCAAGTCAATTTTTTATTGGCAAAGGAAAGCAAAACAGATGACCCCTGATTATAACGAATTGGATTTTGTTAGCAGAATGTGGGAAATAAAGTGATGTTGGCTCCCAGGAGCCCAGGTATCGTCCATGGCTGAGTTTCCACTTGGCTGTATCCCCAGAAAGGCACGGATATTTATGGAGCACCTGCTATTTCTTGGCGCTAATCCATGGTCTCCCATTGAATCCTACAACCTCTCAAAGGGGTTACCCCTGCTTAGGAGGCTCAGAGCCAAGTAACTTGCCCAAGGCCACACACTGCCAAGTAGTAGAGTGGGAATTTGAACATGGTTCTGTCTGGCTTCAAGGCCTCCTTCCTGGGTTTTGATCCTGGGGAAGGATCAGAGATGTGTAACTGGACAACTTCCTGTAAGGAGTAGCCAAAGAGTTTAGGACTGAAAACCCGAGGAGGGTCTGGATTAGAGCCCATCACTTCATTATTATTATTATTATTATTATTGCCCGGCTAATTTTTGTATTTTTTGTAGAGACAGGGTTTCACCATGTTGGCCACGCTGGTCTTGAACTCCTGACCTCAGGTGATCCACCTGCCTCAGCCTCCCAAAGTGCTGGGATTCCAGGTGTGAGCCACCACGCTGGTTGAGCCCGTAACATCTTGACCCATATGTGCTCCTCCTGCAAAGGGTGACGTGGTGAAAAGAGAGGATTCTGCGGACAGCACCCCTTGCTCTGCCACTCACAGCCGGTGTGACCTTGGCCTAGTTTCTTTTTTCTTTTTCTTTTTTTTTTTTTTTTGAGATGGAGTCTCCCTCTGTTGCCCAGGCTGGAGTGCAGTGGTGTGACCTCAGCTCACTGCAACCACTGCCTCCTGGGTTCAAGTGATCCTCCTGCCTCAGCCTCCAGAGTAGCTGGGGTTACAGGCGTAGGCCACCATGCCTGGCTAGTTTTTGTCTTTTTAGTAGAGATGGGGTTTCACCATGTTGGCCAGGCTGGTCTCGATCTCCTGACCTCAGGTGATCTGCCCGCCTTGGCCTCCCAAAGTGCTGGGATTACAGACGTGAGCCACCACGCCCGGCCATTGACCTAGTTTCTGAACTTGTCTGAGCCCCTCCTTTTTCATCTGTAGCAAGGGAAATAATAGCATTTCTGTCATCGTGAGGTTGCTAAGAAGACCAAGACAATTAATGTTGACTGAGATGATCGCACAAATGGGTCAGGACCCCGACCTTGGGGTTTTGGGTCGCATTCCCAATGTGGGGCCTCACAGCTTTCTGGAGGCTCTTTCAGATCAACTTTGGAATATTATTGAAACCAATGGCTGAATGGTGGCTCATGCCTGTAATCCCAGCACTTTGAGAGGCTGAGGCAGGAGGATTGATTAAGCCCAGGTGTTTGAGACCAGCCTGGGTAACATAGTGAGACCCTGTCTCTTTCAATTAAAAATAAATAAATAAATAAATAAATAAAGGCCAGGCGCAGTGGCTCATGCCTGTAATCCCAGCATTTTGGGAGGCCAAGGTGGGCAAATCACCTGAGGTCGGGAGTTGGAGACCAGCCTGGAGACCAACATGGAGAAACCCCATCTCTACTAAAAATACAAAATTAGCCAGGTGTGGTGGCGCGGGCCTGTAATCCCAGCTGCTTGGGAGGCTGAGGCAGGAGAATCACTTGAACCCGAGAGGCAGAGGTTGCGGTGAGCTGAGATTGCACCATTGCACTCCAGCCTGGGCAACAAGAGCAAAACTCTGTCTCAAAATAAATAAATGAATAAATAAATAAAATAAAATAAAATTATGACAGTAAGAGAAATTTGACATAGTTGGCTGTCTTACCTCCAGTCTCCAACCTGGGTCATTCCTGCCGGGTTTAGGCCAAGGTAACTTTGAGAGGAATTTTGTTTATTGTTTAACCTTAAAACAAGGATGATAATAGCCCTTCCCCAAACTAAACCACCCTTATAAAATGAATGAAAGCACACAAGATCAGGATTATGAGAAGAGCCTGGATTCTGCTGAGATGTAGGCATAAAGGGTAACCAGCCATTGTTCTGGAGGTCATGAGATTTTCAATTTCCCCAATTGTTCCTGTAGCTAACATCACCATTGTAAAACCTAAGACTGGTGTTTTGAGATGTCTTTTCAGACTTTTCGCATTTCTGACTGGCTGACTCCACTCAACCTGAGACTCATGACTCAGTTGGTCCTGTGGCCCCCACACAGAGGCAGTCTACACACACACACACAGAGGACCGGGTTCCACACCCGTATGGTTTCATTCCCAACCAACCAACATTCCCCGTTTCCTATAGCCCCTGTCCACCAAACTATTCACTATTCTTTTTTTTTTTTTTTTTTTGAGACTGAGTCTCACTCTGTCACCGAGGCTGGAGTGCACGATCTCGGCTCATTGCAACCTCCGCCTCCCGGGTTCAAGCGATTCTCCTGTGTCACCCTCCTGAGTAGCTGGGATTACAGGCGCCCACCACCGCTACCACCTCCAGCTAATTTTGTATTTTTAGTAGAGACGGGGTTTCATCACGTTGGTCAGGCTGGTCTCAAACTCCTGACCTCAGGTGATCCACCCGCCTCGGCCTCCCAAAGTGCTGGGATTACAGGCGTGAACCACCGCATCCAGCCACCAAACTATTCTTGAAATACCTCTGAGCTTTCGAGATTGATTTGTCTGTGCAGTGGGCAGGGCAGGAGATTATATTACCTGAATTTAGCCTTTATTGAAAATGTTTATCAGCCAGGTGTGGTGGCTCATGCATGTAATCTCAGCATTTTGAGAGTCAGGGGGATCGCTTGAGGCCAGGAGTTTGAGACCAGCCTGGGTGACATTGTGAGACCTCAGCTCTACAACAACAACAAAAGGAAAAATGTTTGCTCCCCAGGGTCTCGTGTGGCATGACTGGCTTCCCGATATTCATGTCCCCTTCTTCCTTACTAATGAAACTGCTTTTGTTTGGGGCATAACAGAGTGGTCAGCCAGGGTGAGCCACGGATCATGGCAACTGCCCTGTGCTTCCCCGGCCTACCTTGCAACTGGGAGAAACCACGTGACCTGTTCTGGCCAAGGGACCTGTGTGGAAGGAGGGTGCCTAGGACAGACCGCCTTCTTCCTGCTTTGAAAAGACTCCTGATACGGAAACTGCTGCAGTCTTATTTCCATGGGGAAAGGCCAAGTGAACCCCACAGATGCCAGCCCTGCCCACTTCCAGATTTTTTATTCTGGGAGACAAAGAAACCACTATTTCTTTACACCTGCCAGTCAAGTTTTCTGTTGTTGGCAGCCACGTTTATTCCCAATGCTTAAGCAGAAAACACTTCCTCCCACCTTCACTCCTCTGGGGTGGAGGGGATGCCCTCAGGCCCTGGAATAACCCTCTGTACGGGGGGCTTCTCTCCTGCCCCTATTCCAGCCTTTTATCTGGGGTGCTCTTGGAGCCTAGAGGCCATCCTCGTCTTTCTCTGACCACCCAGTTTGCCCCATGTTTTCCTTATCCATCCTGACCTCAATTTCCCATTTCCTTTGGTTAATCCTCTCTTGAAAGATCACTTTCCAGCCACACAGAGTCAATGTCCATTCCCCACACCATATAGTACACAACCCCCCAGACACACACACGCACCACACAACACACATCACACAACAGACACACACCACACACACTGAGTCACTGTCCATTCCCCACATCATATAGCACACAACCCCCCAGACACACACACACACCACACCACACAACACACAACAGGCACACACACCACACGCACAGAGTCAACGTCCATTCCCCACATCATATAGCACACAACCCCCCAGACACACACACACACCACACACCACACAACACACAACAGATACACACACAACACACAACAGACAACACCACACACTGAGTCAATGTCCCCACATCATATAGCACACAACCCCCCAGACACACACACACAACACACAACAGACAACACCACACACTGAGTCAATGTCCATTCCCCACATCATATAGCACACAACCCCCCAGACACACACACGCACCACACACCACACAACACGCAACAGATACACACACCACAACACACAACAGACAACACCACACACTGAGTCAATGTCCATTCCCCACATCATATAGCACACAACCCCCCAGACACACACACACACACACACACACCAAACAACAGACACACACCACAACCACCCCATACACATATCATGCAACAGACACACCACACAACAAACACACGTACACCACACACACCCCACACACCACCCCATATACACACACTACACAACAGACACACCACACACCACACAACGGACATACATCATACACACACCACACAACAGACACACACATCACACACCACCCCATACATACACACTACACAACAGACACATCACACACAGACACACACACACCACACACCATACAACACCAATACAAACACCACACAACAGACACATCACACACACACAACACACACCACAACAGACACACAGAACACATACAATACACACACAACACAACACAGGTGTACACACACATATCATAAAGACACACAACACCCACACAACACACACATCACACCCCCGCCCCCCATCATACGCCTCTCTCCTGACCCCTTTCTCTTGTATTTTTGTCCTCTGCATGTGTGGAGAGTCACAGATCCAAAACCCAGTGTCCTGGTTATGCTTCTGCCGAATTCCATTTGGTCTTGCCAGATGGAGCGTTCTTAATCTACATCCGATTTTAGAGACAGGAGAGGTTGCCGCGGGGGCCAGTGCCTGGGGAGCCTGCCCTGTCTTTCTCCGCAGCCGTGCCCAGCCGGCCTGCCAGGCGGGGTCTGGGAAGACAGCCTCACCAGGATTCTCAGTGCTAGTGTCTGACCTTGAAGGCCAGAGCTCCCGGGCCCCTGCGGGCTATTTTGGGACACCTCCCCAGGCCCTAGCCCCACAGAGCAGGTGCAGGGCTGGCCAGAGGAGCTGATGCCAGAGGGATTCAGTGCTCTGTCCTCCCCAGGCTACCTCCTGATGTAATGCTGGAGGCCTGGACCCATGGGGAAGTCCTCGACCCTTGCCCAGTTCAGGAGAGGCAGGGCCTCAACCCTTCCCCAGTTTATGGGGCCTGCAGCTTTGCCAGTGAAAGAGGAAAGCTGGAAAGAGACCCAGGGCTGTGGGTCCCGCAGGAGGTGGGGAGCGGCCCCTCCGTTGTGGGAAAGCAACTGCCGCAGGCCGGGCTGACCTCATGGGTTATGCAACCCAGGCCGGCCCGGGGGCTGCAGGGAGCAGCTCCCATTGTGTAGGCCTGCCTGGGGATCAGCAGCTCAGGCTCCTAAACCACAACCCACGTGGCTCCCGATGCCTCCTGACCCGTTTAGCAGAAGGTGGACAGCTTTCCCGCTCACCCTCCTCCTGCCCTGGGCGTGGCAGGGAAATGGAGTAATTAAAGCCTTTTGGGGATTATCAAGAAACTGCTAGATCACAAGTTCCCTCCTTGGGCACTCATGGCAAAGGGGAGATCAACCTGTAGTCTGCTGAGGGTCAAGGACGGGTAGAAGGAAGAGGGTGCCCCACCTTTAAAGGCCCTAGCCCTCAGCCTTCAGCGTGACCCCTTCAGTATCAGCATGTTTTGGAAAGAGGCCTAGTTCTAGTGTCCAAAGTCCTGTAAAGGAAAATTTTAAAAATCAGGACCACTCACACTTCTCTTTTTCTTTGAGACAGGGTCTTGCTCTGTTGTCCAGGCTGAGTGCAGTGGCGCTCATTTCCACCTTCAGATGTTCACCTTATCTTATATAAAATGTAGTGTTCGCCTAAGCCTGACTGCCCGCCTGCCCCTCTTCCTAGGTGTCATCCCAGCACTTTGGGAGGCTGAGGTGGGTGGATCACTTGAGGTCAGGAGTTTGAGACCAGCCTGACCAAATGGAGAAACCCCGTCTCTACTAAGAATACAAAAATCAGTCGGGTGTGGTGGCTCATGCCTGTAATCCCAGCTACTCGGGAGGCTGAGGCAGGAGAATCGCTTGAACCCGGGAGGTGGAGGTTGCAGTGAGCTGAGATCGCGCCACTGCACTCCAGCCTGGGCAACAAGAGTGAAACTCCGTATCAAAAAGAAAAAAAAAAAGGAAGAAATGTACAAATACAAAACTTGGAACTTCTTGGGAAAAACAGCCACAGATGTGTCTGTGGCTTGTTTTTCCCAGAAGCGCCCTAACGTGGCTTAATAAACCTCAGTGATTAAGACTTGCCTCAGTCACTCATTTTGGTTGTCAGTCCTCAATTGAGACTGGCCGGGTGACCCTGGGCAAGCTGCCTCACCTTTCTTCGCTGAGGAATCGCCTGGTGAGCCGCCGAGGAGCCTTACAGGAGGATTTCTGCAGTGGTAGGAGCTTTTCTCACCCACCTCCCGACAGCAGGGACTCTCCTCTCTCATTCCCTCTGTAGGTCCTGGAAACACTCCCTCTCAGGGCCTCTCGCACATCAGATCAAGCATATTAAAACACACCTGTGGCCCACATCAAGTATTTTTTGCTGTAATTTTTTTTTTTTTTGAGACAGAGTCTCGCTCCATTGCCCAGGCTGGAGTGCAATGGCATGATCTTGGCTCACTGCAGCCTCCGCCTCCTGGGTCCAAGTGATTCTCCTGCCTCAGCCTCCCAAGTAACTGGAACTACAGGCTGATGCCAACATGCCTGGCTAATTCTGGTATTTTTAGTAGAAACGTGGTTTCACCATGTTGGTCAGGCTGGTCTCGAACCCATGACCTCAGGTGATCTGCCCACTTTGGCCTCCCAAAGTGCTGGGATTACAGACATGAGTCACCACTCTTGGCTGCTGTAAACTTTTTGAAAGGGCTTTGAGAAAGCTGCTTTATAAATTATTTGACAAATAAATAACTTATTGAATTTTTTTTTCCTTGAGGCAGAATCTTGCTCTGTTGTCCCGGCTGGAGAGCAGTGATGCCATTCTTGGCTCATTCAACCTCTGCCTCCCGGGTTCAAATGATTCTCCAGCCTCAGCGTCCCAAGTAGCTGGGACTACAGGCTCGCACTACCATGCCCACCTAATTTTTGTATTTTTAGTAGAGACAGGGTTTCATCATGTTAGCCAGGATGCTCTCGAACTCCTGACCTCATGTGATCTGCCCACCTCGGCTTCCCAAAGTGCTGGGATTACAGGCATGAGCCACTGCGCCCAGCCAATAAATAATTTATTGAATGTCGATTGGTTATAATTTTTCTTTCCCTTTTTTTTTTTTTTTTTGAGACGAAGTCTTGCTCTGTCGCCCAGGCTGGACTGCAATGGTATGATCTTGGCTCACTGCAGCCTCCACCTCCCAGGTGCAACCAATTCTCCTGCCTGAGCCTCCTGAGTAGCTGGGATTACAGGTGCCCACTACCATGCCTGGCTAATTTTTGTATTTTTAGTAGAGACGGGGTTTCACCATGTTGGTCAGGCTGGTCTTGAACTCCTGACCTCAGGTGATCCAACTGCCTCGACCTCCCAAAGTGCTGGGACTACAGGCATAAGCCACTGTGCCTGGCCAATTTTTCTTTTTTAGAAGTTTATTTTAGGCCAGACGCAGTGGCTCACGCCTGTATTCCCAGCACTTTGGGAGGCCAAGGTGGGTGGATCACGAGGTCAGGAGATCGAGACCATCCTGACCAACATGGTGAAACCCCATCTCTACCAAAAATACAAAAATTACCTGGGCGTGGTGGCAGACGCCTGTAATCCCAGCTACTCCGGAGGCTGAGGCAGGAGAATCACTTGAACCTGGGAGGTGGAGGTTGCCGAGATCATGCCACTGCACTCCAGTCTGGACACAGAGCTAGACTCTGTCTCAGAAAAAAAAAAAAAAAAAAAAAAAAAAAAAAAATATATATATATATATATATATATATTTTAATTTAGTTTTTATTTGGAATGCAGTGGTGTGATCACGGCTCAGTGTAACTTCAACCTCCTGGGCTCAAGTGATCCTCCTGCTTCAGCCTCCTGAATAGCTGGGACCACAGGTGCCTGCCACCAGCTGCCTAACTTTTTTTTTTTTTTTTTTTTTTTTTTTTTGTAGAGATGGAGTCTTTGCTATGTTGCCCAGGCTGGTCTCAAACTCCTGGCCTCAAGTGATCTTCCCTCCTTGGTCTCCCAAATTATTGGAATTATAGGCGTGAGCCACTGCCCCCAGCCTGGTTATGATTTTTTAGTGATCATGGTGTCTATTGGAAATTCTTAGAAAGTAAGAAATGCTACAAAATGTTTCTAAATGTAGTGCCATTTTCTTGAATACTGAATGAATTCATTTACAAGCCAGTTAGTAAACCATTAGCAACTGAAGATTGTCCATGTTGGCAGTATTTACACGACGGAAATAGCAAACACTACAAATCAGTGAAGTGTACAAATCAGTGTGGTCATTCATAGCACCAACCCTGCCCCAGCTGATTTACTCCTGATCACTGGGAAATTATTTGTTTTTTCTTTTAATCTCTGGGTGACTCAAATGTGTAGTCAGCAATCTGGAAGAAGTTCAGGATCTTGAGTCCACTGAGATAGGCCCCAACAGGGACTGTGGCTCAAGAGGAACCCGGACTGAATTCCATCTAGAAGGAGGACTCACTCCGGGAAAGAGGGAGTGCTCCTTAGGGAGGTGCTCCCTGCCTCCAGCCCAGGCCTTGCTCTTGGTGAGTGGTCATTTAGAGCAGGGGTTTCATGTCTTCATGTCTTTGTATTTGCACAGTAGTCAATTTATTTACTGCTGCCACTTTATTCAGTAACCTTTAGCCTATTAATTGTGTTTATTTTATTTCCCTTTTCGTCTTTCAGTGTTACTAGGCCCTGCTGGCAAACAGAATTGAGGGGGGCCTGCCCAGCAGGGAGGAAGGAGGGGCCACAGCGAGGAGTGTCTGGGACTCAGCTGAGCCTTTCTTGCCTCTGAGGCAGGTGGCCTGGGGAAGTCCTTGATCTTGAACCAGCCGGTTACAGTCTGCGGGTGGCCCCACCTTCAAAGTAAGAAATCCCCATGATTCCACTGGGGCGGCTTCAGCCAGAGGAAGCTGATGAGCCCAAGAGCTTCCTGAAAGCTGCCCAGGGCTCCTGAACAAAGGCTCCAGCTCTGAGAGGCCGTGTGAAACCGGCAAGAGCATGGAGTTACTCACGGGGCAATGGAGCATGGCACGTTCAGCGTGGAGTCCAGCGAACTGAAGGACAAATTAGATGTGCGTGTTTCAATGGAGGGGACTCTCAAAACAAGCTGTGGAGTAAAACAATGAAGGTTACCAAACCACGCACAGCACACACTGCCATTTGTGGGAACGCACTCACGTACAAACACTGAACCAGTGAAACGCCGTCTCTACTCAAAATACAAAAAATTAGCTGGGTGTGGTGGCCCGCACCTGTAATCCCAGCTACTTGGGAGGCTGAGGCAGAAGAATTGCTAGAACCTGGGAGGCGGAGGTGGCAGTGAGCCAAGATCATGCCATTGCAGTCCAGCCTGGGTGACGAGCGCGAAACTCCGTCTCAGACAACAACAACGACAACAAAACTAGTGACTGGAGAGGGTTTCGAAAGAACAAGCTGACCTGATGGACAAAGATATACATCAAAGATATATATATATATATACACCATATATAAACACTATTTAGAGTCTTTTTTTTTTTTTTTTGAGATGGAGTCTTACTCTGTTGCCCAGGCTGGAGTGCAGTGGTGTCATCTTGGCTCACTGCAACCTCCACCTCCCAGATTCAAGCGATTCTCCTGCCTCAGCCTCCCAAGTAGCTGGGGATTACAGGTGTGCGGCACCATACGCAGCTAATTTTTTGTATTTTTAGTAGAGATGGGGCTTCACCGTGTTGGCCAGGCTGGTCTCTAACTCCTGACCTCCACCCGCCTCGGCTTCCTAAAGTGCTCAGATTACAGGCATGAGCCACTGTGCCTGGCCACAATTTAGAGTCTTTATAAAGACAGGCTCCAAATAAAATTCGAGGTCTCTCCCCAGGGACATAGAAAAGAGAGTGGTCATGGCTGGACATCATGGTTCATGCCTGTAATCCCAGCACTTTGGGAGGCCAAGGCAGGCGGATCATGAGGTCAGGAGTTCGAGACCAACCTGGCCAATATGGTGAAACCCTGTCTCTACTAAAAATACAAAAATTAGCCAGACGTGGTGGCGTGTGCCTGTAGTCCCGGCTACTGGGGAGGCTGAGGCAGGAGAATAGCTTGAATCCGGGAGGCAGAGGTTGTAGTGAGCCAAGATCGTGCCACTGCACTCCAGCCTGGGCAATAGAGCAAGACTCTGTCTCAGAAAAAAAAAAGAGGCACCTTGAGTTTCCTAAGGGTAGGCCATGTCAGGTGAACAGCCCCTTTTATTCACAGGAGAAGGGAAGGGAAGAAGCAAACATCTGTAACAGGTTTCTCACTCCAGGCTCCATGCTGGGTGACCTGAGCGCTCACAGCAGCCTAAGGGTTAGTCAGGTGTCTCGTTTTACAGATGCCGAAACTGAAGGGCTGCAGTGAGTGTTGTGAGAAACTCCTCTCAGAGTTGTGTGGTGTGTGAAACATTATGGGACTTAATTACTTAAATGTGTTTGGAAATTCAACACCACAGATTAAGAATGTAGACATTATGTCATCAAACCTGGTTTTTAATCACAGCTCCTCTGCCTATTAGCTCAAGGACTTTAAACATATTATTTAATGTCTCTAAGCCTCAGTTTTCATATTTTTAAACTAGTGCTGATTATAATACACCTCTTAGGTTGTTGTGAGGATTGAATAAAATAAAATGAGCAAAGTGAAAAAAAAAAAAAGAAATTTGCTTCAGGGGGCAGTTGAAAATCTGGGTTCAGGCCGGGTGCCATGTCTCACGCCTGTAATCCCAGCACTTTGGGAGGTTGAGGTGGGCAGATCACCTGAGGTCAGGAGTTCGAGACCAGCCTGGCCAACAAAGCAATGTCCTGTCTCTACAAAAAGTAGAAAAATTAGCCAGGCGTGGTGGCACACACCTGTAATCCCAGCTACTTGGGAAGCTGAGGCAGGAGAATCCCTTGAATCCAGGAGGCGGAGTTGCAGTGAGCTGAGACTGTGCCACTGCACTCCAGCCTGGGCAACAGAGCGAGACTCTGTCTCAGTAATAATAATTAATAATAATAAATAGAGAGTTACAGGGATCATGGCGGACGGGAGGCAGGACTAGATTGCAGCTGTGACTCAGATGGACAGAGCAGCTGTGGAGACTCACATAGTGAATTTTTGCTCTGGAATGACTGCAGGAATAAAGCAGGAAAGCTGAGAGCACCCACAGACCCCATGAAGGAAGCAGATCGCTCCTGCAGGACCCATGAGACACCCCAAATACTGTGCTGGTATCCATGGCTGAGAGACTCACACAGACAGTTCACATCACAGGACTCAGTGCAGACAACCCCAGTACCAGCCTGGAGCCTGGTAGACGTGCTGGGTGGCTAAATCCAGAAGAGAGATAACAATCGCTATAGCTTGTCCTCAGGAAGCCACATCCATAGGAAAAGGGGGAGAGTGCTACATCAAGGGAACACCCCGTGGGACAAAAGAATCTGAACAGCAGCCTTGAGCCCTAGACCTTCCCTCTGACAGAGACTACCAAAATGAGAAGGAACCAGAAAACCAACTCAAAACAAGGTTCTTTAACACCTCCAAAAAATCACACTAGCTCACCAGCAATGGACCCAAACCAAGAAAAAAATCCCTGGTTTACCTGAAAAAGAATTCAGGAGGTGAGTTATTAAGCTAACTAGGGAGGCACCAGAGAAAGGCGAACCCCAATGTAAGGAAAAAAATGATACAAGAAGTGAAGGGAGAAATATTCCAGGAAATAGGCAGCATAAATGAAAAACAATCAAAACTTCAGGAAACATTGGACACACCTAATAGAAATGCAAAATGCTCTGGAAAGTCTCAGCAATAGACTCAAACAAGCAGAAGAAAGAAATTCAGAGCTTAAAGACAAGGTCTTTGAATTAACCCAATCCAACAGAGACAAAGAAAAAAGAACAAGAAAATATGAACAAAGGCTCCAAGGATTCTGGGATTATGCTAAACACCCAAACCTAAGAATAATTGGTGTTCCCGAGGAAGAAGAGAAATCTAACAGTTTGGAAAACATATTTGAGGAAATAATCGAGGAAAACGTGCCCGGCCTTGCTAGAGACCTAGACATCCAAATACAAGAAGCTCAAGGAACATCTGGGAAATTCATCGCAAAAAGATCATCGCCTAGGCACATAGTCATCAGGTTATCTAAAGTCAAGACGAAGGAAATAATCCTAAGAGCTGTGAGGCAAAAGCACCAGGTAACCTATAAAGGAAAACCTATCAGATTAACAGCAGATTTCTCAGCAGAAACCCTGCAAGCTAGAAGGGATTCAGGTCCTATCTTCAGCCTCCTCAAACAAAACAATTATCAGCCAAGAATTTTGTATCCAGTGAAACTAAGCTTCATATATGAAGGAAAGATACAGTCTTTTCCAGACAAATGCTGAGAGAATTTGCCACTACCCAGCCAGCACTACAAGAACTGCTAAAAGGAGCTCTAAACCTTGAAACAAATCGTGGAAACACATCAAAACAGAACCTCTTTAAAGCATAAATCTCACAGGACGTATGAAACAAAAACACAATTTAAAAAATAAAAACAAAAAACCGAGCCATATAGACAACAAATAGCACGATGAATGGAATGCTACCTCACATCTCAATACTAACATTGAATGCCAATGGCCTAAATGCTGCATTTAAAAGACACAGAGTTGCACAATGGGTCAGAATTCGCCAGCCAACTATCTGCTGCCTTCAGGATGCTCGTCTAACACATAAGGACCCGCACAAGCTTAAGGTAAAGGGCTGGAAAAAGACATTTCAGGCAAATGGACACCAAAAGTGAGCAGGGGTAGCTATTCTTTCATCAGACAAAACAAACTTTAAAGCAACAGCACTTAAAAAAGACAAAGAGGGACAGTATATAATGGTGAAAGGCCTTGTCCAACAGGAAAATACCACAATCCTAAACATATATGCACCTAACACTGGAGCTCCCAAATTTGTAAAGCAATGACTAATAGACCTAAGAAATGAGATAGACAGCAACACAGTAATAGTGGGGAACTTCAATACTCCACTGACAGCACTAGACAGGTCATCAAGACAGAAAGTCAACAAAGAAACAATGGATTAAAACTATACCCTGAAACAAACGGACTTAACATATATGCAGAACATTCTACCCAACAACCGCAGAATACACATTCTATTCAACAGTACATGGAACTTTCTCCAAGATAGACTATATGATAGGCCACAAAACGAGCCTCAATAAATATAAGAAAATTGAAATTCTATCAAGCACTCTCTCATGGCCACAGTGGAATAAAACTGGAAATCAACTCCAAAAGGAACCTTCAAAACCACGCAAATACATGGAAATTAAATAACCTGCTCCTGGATGATCATTGGGTCAAAAATTAATTCAAGATGGAAATTAAAAAATTCTTCAAACTGAACAACAATAGTGACACAACCTGTCAAAACTTCTGGGACACAGCAAAGGCAGTGCTAAGAGGAAAGTTCGTGGCTCTAAACACCTACGTCAAAAAGTCTGAGGCCGGGCGCAGTGGCTCCCGCCTGTAATCCCAGCACTTTGGAAGGCCGAGGGGGGCGGATCACGAGGTCAGGAGATCGAGACCATCCCGGCTAACACGGTGAAACCCCATCTCTACTAAAAATACAAAAAATTAGCCAGGCGCGGTGGCGGGCATCTGTAGTCCCAGCTACTCGGGAGGCTGAGGCAGGAGAATGGCGTGAACCCGGGAGGCGGAGCTTGCAGTGAGCTGAGATCGCGCCACTGCACTCCAGCCTGGGCGACAGAGCCAGACTCTGTCTAAAAAAAAAAAAATGTCTGAAAGAGCACAAGCAATCTAAGGTCACACCTCAAGGAACTACAGAAACAAGAACAAACCAAACCCAAACCCAGCAGAAGAAAGGAAATAACCAAGATCAGAGCAGAACTAAATGAAATTGAAACAAACAAACAAAAAATTACAAAAGATAAATGAAACCAAAAGCTGTTTCTTTGAAAAGATAAATAAAATTGATAGACCATTAGCAAGATTAACCAAGAAAAGAAGAGGGCCGGGCGCAGCGGCTCACGCCTGTAATCCCAGCACTTTGGGAGGCTGAGGCAGGTGGGTCGCCTGAGGTCAGGAGTTTGAGACCAGCCTGGCCAACATGGCCAAACCCCAGCTCTACTCAAAATACAAAAATTAGCTGAGCGTGGTGGTGGGCGCCTGTAATCCCAGCTACTTGGGAAGCTGAGGTGGGAGAATCGCTTGAACCCAGGAAGCAGAGGTTGCAGTGAGCTGAGATCGTGCCATTGCACTCCAGCCTGGGCAACAATAGTGAGATTCTATCTCAAAAAAATAATAATAATAAAGAAAGAAAGAAAGGAAGAAAGAAAAAGAAAAGAAAAAGAAAAACAGAGAGGAGAGAAAATCCAAATAATCTCACTAAGAAACGGAACAGGAGATACTACAACTGATACCACAGAAATGCCAAAGATGATTCAAGGCTACTGTGAACACCTTTGCATGCATAAACTAGAAAACCAAGAAGAGATGGGTAAATTCCTGGAAAAATACAATCCTCCTAGCTTAAATCAGGAAGAATTAGATACCCCAAACAGAACAACAGCAAGCAGCAAGATTGAAATGGTAATTTAAAAATTACCAACAAAAAAAAGTCCAGGACCAGATGGATTCACAGCAGAATTCTATCCAACATTCAAAGAAGAATTGGTACCAATCCTACTGAAACTATTCCACAAGATAGAGAAAGACGGAACGCTCCCTAAATCATTCTCTAAAACCAGCATCACCCTAATACCAAAGCCAGGAAAACCAAAAAGAAAACTGACCTAAAAAGAAAACTACAGACCAATATCCCTGATGAACATAGATGCTAAAATCCTTCACAAAATGTTAGCCAACCGAATCCAACAACATATCAAAAAGATAATCCACCATGATCAAGTGGGTTTCATACCAGGGATGCAGGGACGGTTTAACATATGTAAGTCAATAAATGTGATACACCACATAAACAGAATTAAAAACAAAAATCACACGATCATCTCAATAGATGCAGAAAAAGCATTTGACAAAATCCAGCATCCCTTTATGATTAAAACTCTCAGTAAAATCGGCATAGAAGGGACACATCTCAATATAATAAAAGCCATCTAGGCTGGGTGTGGTGGCTCACACCTGTAATCCCAGCACTTTGGGAAGCCGAGGCAGGCGGATCACCTGAGGTCAGGAGTTCGAGACCATCCCGGCCAATATGGCGAAACCCCGTCTCAACTAAAAATACAAAAATTAGCTGGGTGTGGTGGCATGCACCTGTAATCCCAGCTACATGGAAGGCTGAGGCAGGAGAATTGCTTGAACCTGGGAGGCAGAGGTTACAATAAGCCAAGATTGCACCACTGCACTCCAGCCTGGGTGACAGAGCGAGACTCTCTCTCAAAAACAAAAACAAAAAACAAACAAAAAATAACAACAGCAAAAAAGAATGACACAATGGACTTTGGGGACTTGGGGGAAGAGTGTGGGGGGAGGGAGGGATAAAAGACTACAAATAGGGTTCAGTGTATATTGCTCGGGTGATGGGTGCACCCAAATCTCACAAATCACCACAAAAGAACTTACTCATGTGAGCAAATACCACCTGTACCCCAATAACCTATGGGGAAAAAAGAGAAGAATATACAAAAAATTTAAAAACTGGGCCGAGCGCAGTGGCTCACGCCTATAATCCCAGCACTTTGGGAGGCTGAGGAGGGCAGATTACCTGCGGTTGGGAGTTTGAGACCAGCCTGACCAACATGGAGAAACCCCGTCTCTACTAAAAATACAAAATTAGCCGGGTGTGGTGGCGCCTGCCTGTAATCCCAGCTACTCAGGAGGCTGAAGCAGGAGAATCGTTTGAACCCGGGAGGCGGAGGTTGCGGTGAGCCGAGATGTGCCATTGCACTCCAGCCTGGCAACAAAAGCGAAACTCCGTCTCAAAAAAAAAAAAATTAAAAAACAATTTTTAAAAAGAAAATCTGGGTTCATAGTTGGTGGGCCAGTGGCACACGCCCGTAGTCCCAGCTACTTGAGAGGCTGAGGCAGGAGGATCACTTGAGCCCAGGAGTTTGAGACTACAATAAGCTATGATGGTGCCACTGCACTGTAGCCTGGGTAACAAAGCAAGACCCCGTCCCTCAAAAAAAAAACAAAAGAAAAGATCTGATTCAAATCTAGCTTTATCTGACTCCCAAGCAGCTAACAGCGGCAACAATTGGCAACGACCACTGCTACTCACGGCTGCCTGGGCTAAGCACTTTACAAATGTGATGTCATTTAATCCTCATAAAGGTGATAGGTTTTTTGCTTTTTGGTTTTCTTTAGACGGATCTCAGCTCACTGCAACCTCCACCTCCTGGGTTTAAGCAATTCTCCTGCCTTAGCCTCCCAAGTAGCTGAGACTATAGGTTCCCACCACTACGCCCAGCTAATTTTTGTATTTTTGTAGAGACAGAGTTTCACTATGTTGGCCAGGCTGGTCTTGAACTCCTGGCCTTGTGATCTGCCTGCCTCAGCCTCCCAAAGTGTTGGGATTACAGGCGTGAGCCACCGCGCCCAGCTGGATAGGTTTTATTATTTACATTTTACAGCTGAAGAAAATGAGTTGCAAGGGAGGCTGAGTAAGCCCAAAGTCACTGAGGTCTGTCTCACGCCATTCTCTTCAGCAAGTCACTCCATGGCCTGCATCCTCCACAACCAGGAGTCTCCAGCCTCCTCCCCCAGGGCAGATTTTGTCTGAATCTCAAAGAGTTGGAAAGGGAGAGGGCAGCCACACAGAGTTCCCGCTGACAACCACCACTCTAGACTGGGTTAGTGGATCAGGTTGACTGGTGTTGGGGGCCAGGGGTACATGGAATCCTATGGCCATCTGGATGTCAGCAAGTGCAGGGCACAGTGGCTCACACCTGTAATCCCAGCCAAAGGAGGAGGATCACTTGAGACAAGGAGTTCAAGACCAGTCTGGGCAACAGAGACCCCATCTCTACAAAAAATAAAAAAATTAGCTGAATATGGTGGCCTGGACCTGTAGTCCCAGCTACTTGGGAGGCTGAGGTGGGAGGATCACTTGAACTCAGGAGGTCGAGGCTGCAGCAAGTTTTCTGATGGAGATGCTCTTCAGAGCCTGGAGGTCAAGGAGACAGAAAGACGGAAACTGATCCTACTTGTGTTGTGGGTTGAATTGTGCTCTCCAAAAAGTTATGTTCAAGTTCTAACCCTTAGTCCCTGGGCATGTGACCTTGTTTGGAAATAGGGGTCTTTGCAGATGTAATCAAATAAGATAAACTCATAATGGATTAGGGTGGGCCCTATATTCAATGACTTGTAAGAGGAGGGACCCCTATGTGGAGATAGAGGTAGGGATGGAAGGATGAGCTACGGCCCACAGAATATCAAGGATACACAACAACCCTGAAAAGCTAGAAGGAGGCTAGGAAGGACTCTTCCCTAGAGCCTCAGAAGGAGCATGGCCCTGCTGACTTAGGACTTCTGATGGCAGAACTGTGAGAGAATGAATTTCTGTTGTTTTAAGCCATCTAGTTTGTGATTACGTGTTATGGCAAAACTGGAAAACGAATAGAGTTTGGTTGTTCCATAGGGATTTGGCTTCACATCCAGAATATGCTAATTATTGTCCACATGTCACGTGGGCTTGGGTGGTGGGACAGAGTTTTATCCTTTTCTTTTCTTTTTTTTTTTTTTTGTGACAGAGTCTTGATCTGTCGCCCAGGCTGGAGCGCAGTGGCGCGATCTCGGCTCACTGTAACCTCCACCTCCTGGGTTCAAGCCATTCTCCTGCCTCAGACTCATGAGTAGCTGGGACTACCGGTGCATGCCAGCACACCCGGCTAATTTTTGTATTTTTAGTAGAGATGGGGGGTGGGTTCCACCACGTTGGCCAGCCTGGTTTCAAACTCCCGACCTCAAATGATCTGCCCGCCTTGGACTCCCAAAAGTGCTGGGGTTACAGGCATGAGCCACCACGCCTGGTTGTGAGTTTTAACCTTGACCCTGATTTATTTTATTATCCTCTTGGATGAAAATTAAGAATGTCTCCATTCAAATGGGTAGATTGTGCAAAACCCGGAGAGATGGTTAGTACTGAAGACAGGATCTATATTCAAAAACACCTCAAAGAACAGCAAAAATGCACTAAGACCTACAATGTGAAATGAACACGGACAAAGTTCTTGATGTAGGTTCAAGAGCCAGTTGCACCAATGGAGAATGAGGAATCCCTGGCTTGATGACAGCTCACATAAAAAAAGATATTGGCTGCAAGCTGAGTAAGAGTCAACAATGCATTCAGTCGTTTGAAAAGCCAGTGCATCTGTAAGTGGCTTTGCTGCCAAGCAGAATTGAGCTGAGCATGCCACTGGCCTCTGGGCTGATCGGGGCACACCTGAAGCTTCATTCAGCCCTGGGTGCTGAATTTTAGTGCCACATTTGACATTACTCAGCATCCAGGAAAGACAGCCAGAAAAGTGAGAGGTCTGGAAACTGTCATGAAAGACAATCAGGAGAATTAGTGTTGTTTTGAGGCAGAAATTTAAAGAAACATAAGTACTGCATTTATTTACTTTAAGGATAGTAACAGGCAAGGCTATAAAAAGGTCGCGGTGACCTAGTCTGAGAAGCAAAAGCTGCAAGAATAGGCTCCAGACACCCCCGAGCATGGTTGAAAAACAAAAAATCCCCAAAACCAAATTCCTTGACTGTCTCTCCTTCTCTGAACTAATAATTCTGACTATGTTTGCCAATGCTTGTACTTAGTCAGATTTGTAAGTTCCTGTTTTCTTTTGCCTCAGCTGCAAGGTTACCCGCTATGCAAGGGCACAGGTTGTGCCAAGTCACTAGTTATGCTGTAGATGACAGAAGCTGTCACTGTGTGATTGACAGCCTTTGCGCTGGCCTATATAAGCTAAACCCTGACTTTGTTCAATGCTCAGCTTTTTGGATACGAATCCTCTGAGCTGGTGCACCTTAAATAAACATCCTCCTGTTTCCCGTATTGGTCTCTCCAGTCCTCTGTTCCTCGCAACAGTTTCCCCTGAAGATGAGAAGACGTGGGAAGAGGGGACTTCTGTAAACATTGACCTGCTTTTGTGAAGCACAGGGAGTGGGTGTGCTAGGAGAATGGTTCCTAACTAGCGGCTTCTGTGCTGATGAAGGCAAACAGCAGTCTCAGTCTTTTTTTTTTTTTTTTTTTTTGAGACAGAGTCTTACTCTGTTGCCCAGGCTAGAGTGCAGTGGCGCACTCTCAGCTAACTGCAACCTTCACTCCCTGGGTTCAAACAAGCACATCTGTCTAATTTGTGTATTTTTAGTATAGATGGGGTTTCGCCATGTTGGCCAGGCTGGTCTTGAACTCCTGACCTCAAGTGATTCGCCTGCCTCCGCCCCCCGAAGTGCTGGGATTACAGGTGTGAGTCATCGTGCCTGGCCTAGTCTCAGTCTTCAGACACAGGGGAGACCTGTTGGTTTTGCAGCGTCTTCTCTCTTTCTAATAAAAGCATCCATATTTTTCTTTGTGAGACCACTCTGCCCCCACTTTGTCCGTGGTTCCAGCGGTCGGCTTAGGACTGGGATTTAGCCAATCCAAGTGCTCTATTCCCTTGGTCACGGCAATCTGTTCAAGGGTGGGTATGTGACCCAAGCCAGATCAATGAGTGTCTGTATTAGTCTGTTCTCACACTGGTGTAAAAAGATACCTGAGACTGGCTGAGTGCGGTGGCTCACGCCTGTAATCCCAGCACTTTGGGAGGCTGAGGCAGGCGGATCACCTGAGGTCAGGAGTTCGAGACCATCCTGGCCAACATGGTGAGACCCTGTCTCTATTAAAAATACAGAATTAGCCAGGCGTGGTGGTGTGTGACTGTGGTCCCAGCTACTTGGGAGGCCGAGGCAGGAGAATCGCTTGAATCCAGGAGGCGGAGGTTGCAGTGAGCTGAGATCACATCACTGCACTCCAGCCTGGGAGACAGAGTGAGACTCCGTCTAAAAACAAAAAACAAAAAACAAAACAAAAAAAACCCTGAGACGGTGTAATTTATAAAGAAAAGAAGAAATCATTTTAATTGGCCAGATGTGGTGGCTCACGCCTGTAATCCCAACACTTTGGGAGGCTGGGGCAGGCAGATCACCTGAGGTTGGGAGTTCGAGACCAGCCTGACCAACATGGTGAAACCTCGTCTGTACTCTACTAAAAATTCAAAAATTAGCCAGGCGTGTTGGTGCATGCCTGTAATCCCAACCATTGCACTATTGCACTCCAGCCTGGGCAACAAGAGCTCCGTTGTTTTTTTGAAACTCCGTTTCAAAAAAAAAAAAAAGAAGAAGTTTAATTGGCTCACAGTTCTGCAGGCTGCATAGGAAGCATGACGCTGGCCTCTTCCCGGCTTTTGGGGAGGCCTCAGGAAACTTCCAATCATGGCAGAAGGCGAAGCGGGAGCAGGCACTTCACACGGCAGGAGCAGAAGCAAGAGAGAGAGCGAGGGGGTGGGGCCACACACTTTCAAACGGCCAGATCTCTCGAGAACTCACTATGGAGAACAGCACCGAGAGGATGGTGCCAAACCATTCATGAGAAATCCACCCCATGATCCAACCACCTCCCACCAGGCCCCACCTCCAACACTGAGGATTAGGACTCAACTGGAGATTTGGGTGGGGACCCAGAGCCAAACCATGTCAGTGTCTATCTGAGGCATTTGGTTGCAACTACCAAGTAGAGACACTCTTTTTCTGTTGGGAGCACTAAGCCAGCAGTATAGAATCCTGCAACCGCTGGAGGCCAGTGTGCTAAGGTCTGAGAGGAGCCTGTTTGAGAGCAAAGTCAACACAGTGAATGGAGCCAAGAAATGGAGACAGCAAGATCTCTGTTGGCACGCTGTGAACGCCTGGATCCAGCCATGCCTGAATTTGATCTGTGAACCTCTTGGACATGACACAATATGATCCCCACTGATTCTTTCCCCATCTGAGTTCAGGCTTTGTTGTTTGCAATCACATCCACCTGTAAGTATAGCAAAAGCTGTTTGATGAAAACGTCATTCCATAGGAATTCTAATGGTTCACGCTTTTGGAGCACCTTCCATATGTAGACATTGTGGTAGATTTTTTTTTTTTTTTGAGACAGAGTCTCGCTCTGTCACCCAGGCTGGAGTGCAGTGGTGCGATCTCGGCTCACTTCAACCTCCACCTCCTGGGTTCGAGCAATTCCTCTGCCTCAGCCTCCCGAGTAGCTGGGATTACAGGTGCACACCACCGTGCCTGGCTAATTTTTCTATCTTTAGTAGAGACGGGGTTTCTCCATGTTGGTCAGGCTGGTCTCAAACTCCTGACCTCAGGTGATCTGCCCGCCTCAGCCTCCCGAAGTGTTGGGATTACAGGCGTGAGCCACTGTGCCCAGCCGTGGTAGATTTGTATTTTAATTTGTAATAGAGTTATACTTGAACATAGTTTTATGAGTTTACTTGGTGTGAAAACCCCCATCCTTTGCAACTCAGACTCCTTTTTCTACTCCTTACAGGTGCTGGAACTCAGAAACCAATACCCCAGAATATGGTGCTTTGACATATGGGACCGAAGAAGCCTTGAGGTCTCTCTGACCTTTCCCCAAAGAAGTTGAAGTTTTTTAATTGGTCAAGTTCCAGACCCACAAGGAGCAATTATTTGTAAAGCCAGGAATGTAACCAAACTTGAACAGAACTTTCCACAAAATAGTATGTAAACTGATCTCTGTTCCTAGATCCATTTACTTTCC
This sequence comes from Homo sapiens, assembly GCF_000001405.40. Classification (NCBI taxonomy): domain Eukaryota; kingdom Metazoa; phylum Chordata; class Mammalia; order Primates; family Hominidae; genus Homo; species Homo sapiens. The sequence goes on along the minus strand of NC_000003.12, from coordinate 196,147,225 downwards.
CTAGTAATCCTTTATCCCCCTCTTTTCCTGCCTCCCATAAACTGTGCTGCCAGGATGCTGTATGAGCTTCTGAACCCCACTGGGGCGCAGGCACCCTGACTCTCCCTATGTGCATGTAAATTAGTTTTATGCCTTTTTTCTGTTAATTAGTTGGCCTCATGTCAATGATTTTCAACCACTGTCAATTTTTTCAGATGATTCTTTTTTTTTTTTTTCAGACAGGTCTCTCTCTGTCGCCCAGGCTGGAGTGCAGTGGTGTGATCTTAGCTCACTGCAGCCTCGACCTCCAGGGGCTCAGGTATCCTCCTACCTCAGCCTTCTGAGTAGCTGGGACCGCGGGCATGCACCACCACACCTGGCTAATTTTTAAAATTATTTGTAGAGACGGGGTCTTCCTATGTTGCCCAGGCTGGTCTCGAACTCCTGGACTCCAGTGGTCAGCCGGCCTCAACCTCCCGAAGTGCTGGGATTACAGGTGTGAGCCACTGTGCCCAGCCTGAGATAAATCTATTGAGTTTTCACTGTGAACAATGAGGATGTAGCTCATTTTTGTTCTCCCTGTCCCCACCACACAGAAACTCTCTGCCCTTCTCTTCCTCCTGATTGAGTTACGTTGTGATTTTGTTTAGATCCACATTCACTGCTTGTTTTTTGTTTTTTTTTTTTGAGACGGAGTCTGGCTCTGTCGCCCAGGCTGGAGTGCGGTGGTGTGATCTCGGCTCACTGCCAGCTCCGCCTCCCGGGTTCATGCCATTCTCCTGCCTCAGCCCCCTGAGTAGCTGGGACTACAGGGGCACGCCACAGCGCCCGGGTAATTTTTGTATTATTAGTAGATGAGGGGCTTCACCGTGTTGTTCAGGCTGGTGCCCTTGGTCATCCACAGGTGTGGGCCAAGCTAAGTTTGGGAGAAATGTAGTTTATAGTTTAAATGATAATAGCCCTTTCCAAAACTAAATTGCCTTTGTAAAACTAATGAAAGGCCACCGGGTTAGGGGGATGACAGGGGCATGAATTCCACGAAGATGTGGGTGCCGTGAGATGATTCCCAGCCACTATTCCAAAGGCCACTGGGTTAAGAGGAGGAAAGGGGCATGAATTCCGCGAATATGTGGGTGCTGTGAGATGATTCCCATGAGAAGTCACAAGATTTGCAACTTCCCCAATGACTCCTGTAAATAACATCACTACTGTAAGACCTAAGATTGGCCTTTTGAGATCTCTTTTCAGGGTTTCAGGTTACTGATGACCGGAAGGCCCCACCCAAACCAGCAGCTCCTCTGTGGCCACTACCCAGAGGCTGCCTCAGAGCACAAGGGCCAATTTCCACACCCCCGTGATTGCCCCCCCAGCTGATCAGCAGCACACGTCCCATAGCTCCCTGCCCACCAAACTCTCCTTAAGAGACCTTCGCCTCTGAATTTTGGGGCAGGCTGATTTGAGTAATAATAAAACTCTGGTCTCCCATTTCGCTGGCTCTACGTGTATTAAACTCTTTCTCTATTGCAATTCCCCTGTTGTAATAAATCAGCTCTAACTGGGCATTGGGCAAGAAGAGCACATGGGCAGTTACAGATTCTCCTGGTTTGAAGTGAATCAATCAGAGCCAGGCGTGGTGGTGTGCGCCTGTCAGTCAGAGCCAGGCGTGGTGGTGTGTGCCTGTCAATCAGAGCCAGCTGTGGTGGTGTGTGCCTGTCAATCAGAGCCAGGCGTGGTGGTGTGCGCCTGTCAGTCAGAGCCAGGCGTGGTGGTGTGCGCCTGTCAGTCAGAGCCAGGCGTGGTGGTGTGCGCCTGTCAGTCAGAGCCAGGCGTGGTGGTGTGCGCCTGTCAGTCAGAGCCAGGCGTGGTGGTGTGTGCCTGTCAATCAGAGCCAGCTGTGGTGGTGTGTGCCTGTCAATCAGAGCCAGGCGTGGTGGTGTGCGCCTGTCAATCAGAGCCAGGTGTGGTGGTGTGTGCCTGTCAATCAGAGCCAGGTGTGGTGGTGTGTGCCTGTCAATCAGAGCCAGGTGTGGTGGTGTGCGTCTGTCAATCAGAGCCAGGCGTGGTGGTGTGCGCCTGGATTCCTGGCTACTAGGGAGGCTAAGGTGGGCAATCACTTGAGCCCGGGAGTTTGAGGCTGCAGTGAGCTATGATTATGCCACTGTGCTCCAGCCTGGGCAATAGAATGAAAAATAAATTTAAAACTGTCTCTGAAAAATAAATTAAAAAGTGAGTCAATTAGCCCAGCCCACATTCAAGGGGACGGTTTTACACAGGAAATACCAAGAGGCAGGGATCACTGAGCGTCATCTTAGAGGCTGCCTCCCACAGCAGGCGAATGAAGTATTAGAACACCCTCGGTAGCGAGTGCTGAGAGGGCCAGACACGGTGGCTCATGCCTGTCGTCCCAGCACTTTGGGAGGCCGAGGCAGGAGGATCACCTGAGGCTAGGAGTTCACAACCAGCCTGGGTAACATAGTGAGATCCTGTCTCCCCGTCGAAATTTTTTTGATTAAAAAAAAAAAAAGCGCTGAGAGAGGAAATCCCAGGCTGTTGCAGGCATATGAGAGAAAAACACCAGCCTCTGCCCGAGGACGCATGAGAGAAAAACACCAGCCTCTGCCCGAGGACGCATGAGAGAAAAACACCAGCCTCTGCCCGAGGAGACCAATGAGGGTTTCCCAGAGGAAGCAGCTCTGGGTTGAGACTTAACAGATGAGAAGATATCCCAGGGGGCCAGGGGGTATAAGAGCATCCCAGGGAAAGGGAAAGCAAAAGACGGAAGTGTGGGTTCAGGGGGCAGCAGCACGGGCAGAGCCTGGGGCAGAGGGTGACAGGAAGGTGGGGGAGAGCTAGCTCCGGGAGGACTCACCTGCTGTCCTCAGGTGTTGGTGCTTTATCTTGGAGGCACTGGGAAGCCGTGGCCAGGGTTAAGGGGGTGAGATGCCAGGACTGTGCTTTAGTGCTCTCTGCAGTTACTGGCTGGGTAGAGGAGACCGAGGAGCAGAGGTGGGAGGCCGGAGACCAGGGAGGAGGCTGTGGCAGGCATCCAGGTCAATGCTGGGGGGCTGGTCTGGGCAGGAGCAGAGGGAGAGGGAAAGAGGAGATAATTGGGAGGTCGATGTGAACAATGGGGCTTCTACAGTGCCGGCCCAGAGGGATGAAGTAGTTCGTGGGGTAGGCGAAGGGAGGCAGGGAGAGGGAGGGCCAACTGTGTGAATGGAGGGAGCGGCCCAGGGCAGCTCAGCGAGGCCCGTTGGCTGCACAGGCAGGTGGTGAGCGGGCGGGGTCTTGCTCCTTGCGGGGTGCGAAAGTTGGCAGGGTTGGGTGGTAACCTTGGGAACCTGAGAAGAAAGGTCAGGGTGGAGATGTCAGCCGCCATTTTGGCCCCAGGAGGTCCATCCCTATGCCCGGTTGATTGCTCTGCTTTGTGAACACAACCATGGCTCAGCCGCAGACCCAGGATTAGAACTCTACAAAAAGGGCTTCTTGGCTTGTTGTGGTGGCTCAGGCCTGTAATCCCAACACTTTGGGAGGCCAAGGCGGGTGGATCACCTGAGGTCAAGAGTTTGAGACCAGCCTATCCAACATGGTGAAACCCCGTCTCTACTAAAAATACAACAATTAGCCGGGTGTGGTGGCGGGTGTCTGTAATCCCAGCTACTCCGGAGGCTGATGCAAGAGAATTTCTTGAACCTGGGAGGTGGGGGTTGCAGTGAGCCGATATCACGCCACAGCACTCCAGCCTGGGTGACAGAGCAAGACTCCGTCTCAAAAAAAAAAAAAAAAAAAAAAAAAAAAAAAAAAAAGAGGCTTCTTGAACACTCCCCTCGAACCTACCCCGGCGGCCTCCAGAGCTCCGCCCATCCTCGCCCTTCAAAGTTAGTGGAAGCCCTCAAGGCCTTGAACTAACTGCTCGCTGCTGACCTGCCGGCCTCGTTGCCCTCCTTCTCTCTGTGGCTGTGGGCAAGTGACTCACTTCTTAGTCTTCTCTCTTGGAAAACCGGCGGCTGGACCAGCTGCTCCCCGTGGTCCCTGCCAGCGCTGGCTCGCCGGGATTCCATCTCCCCACCCTCTCTGGGTTCTCCACGCTCTGGGCTGTCATTGCAGCGTGGATCGTAATGCACGTAATGCAGTGTGACATGCATTCCAGCACCCTGATGGCCATGGGCTCTCCCTCGGCTCAGGCCCGCCCTGGGGAGCTGCGGAGGCTGTGTTGAGCTCAGCTCCTCATCTTAATTCTGCAAACCTGTTTTGAGGTCTGGTCTGGTTCCCAGCTGAGCACTCAGGTACTGTGGGTGGGGTCTCTTGGCCTGGGGTCTGCCCGGCGCACCATGAATCATCAGCCAGACAGGGTCTTTCAGAAGCGGGACTGTCCATCCCTGTTCTCCAGGCATGATCATGTCTGTTCATCAGAGATCATCTTTACGGAGGTAGAGAAGAGCTTCCGTCTCCGGGGTCACGTGTTGTACTTTGCACATCCTCCGTGGTGAGGTTCTTTTCTAGATCTAGCCCAAATCTTCAAGAAGGCTTAAAACAAAGCTGCATTTTAAGGGCTTCTGGGTGGAGGAATCAGATTAGATCCATTCTGCTCAGCTTTCTCTCACCAGAAGTGGGGGCTCCGCCCTCTGAGTGGGAAGGGACCCATTCCTTTCACTTCCCCGCTCCCTGGCTAGGTCAGCCCACACCTGGCTTGGGCCAGAGCTGCAGTTGCTGTTGGCACCCAAATGGTCTGAGGCTGTTAGGTAACAGGTCTTGGCCAGACATTCTGGTTCCGCAGGTACAGCCTACAAGTTAAAAATTGTTCTAAAAATGCAGGGCAAGCTGTCTAAACACACACAGGCCTGGGGAGGGGGGAGGTTGTGGGACAGAGGCCATAGTCAGTGGAGGGATGTGTTTTCCACAGGGACTCTGGGCTCAGAGCCCTGACTCCAAACCAAGCATCAAACTCAGGGAAGAGTGGCCCAGACCTGCTGCAGGGACGAGGGGCCCAGACCCGCTGCAGGGACGAGGGGCCCAGACCCGCTGCAGGGACGAGGGGCCCAGACCTGCTGCAGGGACGAGGGGCCCAGACCCGCTGCCCAGAGATAGGATTTGCAGCCCAACCCCCTCTTAGCTTCCCTCATTTCCCTCCCTTCCCTCCCTCCCTCTCTCTCTCTCTTTTCTTTCCTTCCTTCCTTCTTTCCTCTCTCTCTCTCTTTCTCTCTCTCTCTCTTTCGAAGGACTCTCACTCTGTCACCCAGGCTGGAGTACAGTGGCATGATCTCGGCTCACTGCAAACTCTGCCTCCCAGGGTCAAGTGAATCTCCTGCCTCACTCTCCCGAGTAGCTGGGATAACAGGCATGTACCACCACGCCCAGCTAATTTTTTTGTATTGTTAGTAGAAACAGGGTTTCACCATGTTGGCTAGGCTGGTCTTGAACTCATGACCTTAAATGATCTGCCCACCTTGGCCTCCCAAAGTGCTGGGATTACGGGCGTGAGCCACCACGCGGCTAGTCTTGCTCTTTGTTATTTTGATGTCTTTCCTCCAGTTCCATGCTTTTAGGCATCTCTAACCTTCCCCTTCTTCTTTCCTCTTTCCCCTCTTCTTTCGTTTCCTCTTTTCTCTCCCTTGCCCCTACTCCTCTCTACCCACTAGGTAAGGGGATGTGTTTTTCTTTTTCCCCTCCTTAAACTCAGCCCCCACCTTAAGCCTCTGGAAATCAGCCTGGTAGTGGGAGGCAGCCTCGGGCCCCTCCATCTGTGACCTTGGGGAATTCCTGTCACCTCTCTGGGCCTCTGTCAAATGGGGACAATAATACCCATTTGATCCTCTGCCTCACAGAATGGCTGGGAACATCAAAAGAGGTCAGTTGGTTCATTTGTTCCATATTTATTTAAGCACGTGCAATTTAGCCAGGCACTGTGGTGGGTTCTGGGGTCCATAGCAGGAGTGAAAGACATGTGCAGACTGTCCCTAAATCCGCTCATCCGAAAACCACAGAGGGCTTCGAAAAAGACAAACTCCTTCCCTCCCCCAGATCATCCGGGTGGGACTCTGCAGAGTCGGGCAAAGCAGGTGGGGGCGGCGTCTGTGTTTTGTTGGGTTTTCCTGTGACTTGGAGTCACACTCTGTCACCGAGGCTGGAGTGCAGTGCTGCAACCTCTGTCTGCCTTCTGGGCTCAAGTGATCCTCCCACCTCAGCCTCCCAAGTAGCTGAGACCACCACAAGCACCACTGCACCTAGCTAATTTTGTTGTATTTTTAGTAGAGACGGGGCCTCGCCGTGTTGCCCAGGCTGATCTTGAACTCCTGGGCTTAAGGGATCCTCCCTGCCTCGGCCTCCCAAAGTGCTGGGATTGTAGGCATGAGCCACGGCGGCCAGCCTGATGTCTGAGTGTTTTTGTTTTGTTTTTTTTTTTTTGAGATGGAGTTTTGCTCTTGTTGCCCAGGCTGGAGTGCAGTGGTGTGATCTCGGTTCACTGCAACCTCTGCCTCCCGGGTTCAAGCGATTCCCCTGCCTCAGTCTCCCAAGTAGCTGGGATTACAGACGCATGACATGATGCCAGGCTAGTTTTTTGTATTTTTAGTAGAAATGGGGTTTCACCATGTTGGCCAGGCTGGTCTCGAACCCCTAACCTCAGGTGATCCACCCATCTTGGCCTCCCAAAGTGCTGGGATTATAGGCGTGAGCCACCGTGCCTGGTGGATGTCTGTTTTTATAGCTCTGCAAGTGAGCCAGGCTCCCGGGCGTGGAAACAGTGTGTGCCTGAGTGAAGGAGGACAGGCTGGCAGGGCGACCGAGTCGGCCCAGGGAACCATTAGACGGGCAGAGGTGGGGGGCGGGGGAGTAAGTGGGAGAAGCCGGGGACAGGAAGCAGAGGGGTTTTCCTCCTGCCCCTTGCTGGGTCGGCCCACGCACATCTGTGTCTAGGCTGGCTAGAGATTGAAGGCCTGTGATGGATTCTCTTAAAGAGTGATAAAAGTACCACAAGGGAAACAGAATAGCTCTAACCATTTCTTCATGATAGGGGCTTTCTCCCCTCAGGTATATTTTATAGGATATTTTCCTCAAAGATTAGCCTTTCCTTATTTGTTTTGTCTAGAGGGCGATCCTAAAAGTGGGCCTAGGTTTTCCATGTCGTTTTTGGTGTGTGTAAATTTTTAAAAACAGGTTTTGCTCATTTCTTTAAATATTGGTGTGATATTTCATGTTTGTAAAGCAGTCACTAAGTTTGACTGCCTGGAAATTTTAATGTATGCTCGTTAAGAAATGATGGTCGGGCGCCGTGGCTCAGGACTGTAAACCCAGCACTTTGGGAGGCCGAGGTAGGTGGATCACTTGACGTCAGGAGTTCGAGACCAGCCTGGCAAACATGGTGAAACCCCGTCTCTACTAAAAATACAAAAATTAGCCGGGGATGGTGGTGGGCACCTGTAATCCCAGCTACTTGGGAGGCTGAGGCGGGAGAATCACTTGAACCCAGGAGGCAGAGGTTGCAGTGAGCTGAGATCGCTCTACTGTATTCCAGCCTGGGGGGCAGGGTGAGACTCTGTCTCAAAAAAAAAGAAAAAAGAAAAAAGAAATGAGCAGTAACAACAACAAAAATCCTTAATGCCTCCAACCTTGATGGTTTAGAAAGGTCTTTTAAAGTTTTTATTGGCTGGGCATGGTGGCTCATGACTACAGTCTGAGGTGGGAGGCTGGGGTGGGAGGATCGCTTGAGCCTCGGAGGTTGAGGCTGCAGTGAGTCGTGATGGCACCACTGCACTCCTGCCTGGGCAACAGAGTGACACCCTGTCTTTACAGAAAATAACAATTAGCCGAATATTGCGATGCGTGCTTACAATCCCAGCTATTCAGGAGGCTGAGGTGGGAGGATCTCTTGAGCCTGTGAGGTTGAGGCTGCAGTGAGCCGAGATCATGCCATTGTACTCCAGCCTGGGTGACAGAGTGAGAGCCTGTCTCAGAAAAAAACAAAAAACCGAAGAAAAATGTTAACAGTGAGTTTGTTTTTCATGTGATAATGATTTGAATACTCAGGCACTGTTGATAGCAAGGGCGGGAAGAAAACAGTAAAATTCCTTCCTGAGGGAGTTCACATTCCAGTTGGGGAGAGGTAAGAAGCCAAGATGACCAGATACCTAAGAACGCGTTTAGCGTGGCAGGTCGTGATGAAATGCTAAGGAGGAAAAACAAAGCAGGAGTGAGGAGTATGAAAGTCAGCCAAGGAGATGGGATTGGAATTTTAGGCAAGCTAAGCCTGGGAGTCCTCCTGAGAAGATAACTTTTAAACGTAAGTCACAGAAAACTTCAAATGTACGTAAAAGTAGAGAGAACAATGAAATGAATACTCATATATCCATCATCTAGTATCAACAAATACTGCCAATTTGGTTTTATCTAATTTTCCCCAATCATTTATTTATTTTTGTGTGTGTGCTGGAGTTTTTAAAAGCAAAGCCAAGACGTCACATGAATTTTCCTGTAAATATTCCAGTGAGCATGTAAACTGATAAGGGATTTTGAAAACATACATCTACCCTGCTATTACGCCCTCAACAAAACTAACAAAAATTCCTCAGTATCATCCAACAACCAGTCCATATCTTCATTTCCCAATAGGGTCAAATTATCTTTTCACAGCTGGTTTTGAAACAGGATAATAACACCAGGCACAGCGGCTCATGCCAGAGGATCGTTGAGCCCAGGAGCTCAAGGCTGCTGGGAACCACACTCACAACACTCCAGCTTGGGGGACGGTGCCAGACCCTGTCTCAAAAACAGACAGACAAACAGGATAATAAAGGTTAATTTTAAGTGGTGGCATATATTTTATGACTTTTTCTCTATTTTTCAGATTTTCTACCATAAACATGTATTGCTTTTATAACTTTTTAAAAATATAATTTTGAAAAAGAAAAAGATTTGGAGGAAGAGCTTGCAGCAAATAATGACAAAAGACAAGGTTCATAAATAGCTAATAAGACTGATAAGCTAGGCCAGGTATGGTAGCTCAGACCTGTAATCCCAGCACTTTGGGAGGCTGAAGTGGGAGGATCAACTTGAGCTCAGGAGTTTGAGGCCAGACTGGGCAACATAATGAGACCTCGTCTCTACTAAACATTTTTTTTTTTTTTTGGGGACGGAGTTTTGCTCTTGTTGCCCAGGCTGGAGTGCAGTGGTGTGATCTTGGCTCACTACAACCTCTGCCTCCCGGGTTCAAGCAATTCTCCTGCCTCAGCCTCCCAAGTAGCTGGGACTACAGGCATGTGCCACCATGCTCAGCTAATTTTTGTATTTTTAGTAGAAACAGGTTTTCACCATGTTGGCCAGGATGGTCTCGATCTCCTGACCTTATGATCTGCCCGCCTCAGCCTCCCAAAGTGCTGGGATTACAGGCGTGAGCCACCATGCCTGGCCACATTTTTTTTTTAAATTACCTAGGCCTGGTGACACATGCCTGTAGTCCTAGTTACCCAGAAGGCTAAGGTAGGAGGATTACTTGAGCCTGAGAGATCAAGGCTGCGGTGAGCTGAGATCGCACCGTAGCACTCCATCCTGGCAACAGAACCAGACCCTGTCTCAAACAAAAACAAAAACTGATAATGAGCAAAAAATATGAACTAAATTTTATTCGAGAGGAAGTTCAACAGTGAATAACACCACACTGTACCAGATGAAACTGACAAGATGCAACCATATCAACAGCACAAAAGCCCGTGCCGAGTTGGTTGGAAGGTACTCACATGCTGCTAGAAAAGTGTAAATTATTCCACTCTGGGGAGCAATGTAGCCATAAAGAATTTGGGGCCGGGTGCGGTGGCTCACGCCTATAATCCCAGCACTTTGGGAGGCCAACACAGGTGGATCGCTTGAGGCCAGGAGTTCGAGACCAGCCTGACCAACATGGTGAAACCGTTTATCTGGTAAAAATACAAAAATTAGCTGGGTGTGAAGGCACATGCCTGTGGTCCCAGCTACTCAGGAGGCTGAAGCATGAGAATCGCTTGAACCCAGGAGGTGGAGGTTGCAGTGAGCCGAGATCACTCCACTGCACATCAGCCTGGGCAATACACTGAGACTCCGTCTCAAAAATAAGTAAGTAAATAAATTAAAATTATGTATAAATATGTTGTCCTTCAACAGCAAAAAGAAGAAAATATCCAGCAAGAGAATAATGAAGAAATAACTGATGGCGCATCAGCTTGGTGGCATATCAGGTTGCCATTAAAAATTCTACTTATGGGCCAGGCGCAGTGGCTCACGCCTGTCATCCAGCACTTTGGAAAGCCGAGGCAGGTGGATCACCTGAGGCCAGGAGTCTGAGACCAGCCTGGCCAATATGGCGAAACCCTGTCTGTACTAAAAATACAAAAATTAGATGGGCATGGGGTGGTGCACGCCTGTAGTTCCAGCTACTGGGAGGCTGAGGCAGGAGAATCCCTTGAACCCGGGAGGCGGAGGTGGCAGTGAGCCGAGATTGCGCCATTGCCCTCCAGCCTGGGCGACGAGAGCAACACTCTGTCCTGAAGGGGGAAAAAAAAAATTCTACTTATGAAGACTACAGGATTGTGAATGAACATTTATGATAAAAATATTACACAAGCAAAAAATAAATAATGACTCTGACTACAGCGAAATAAAATATGTACATGCCTGGACAAGCTGGAAGAACTAGACAGGAAGAAAACAACCTTGTTGGGCTCGAATGCTGAGATCATAGGTGGTTCGTTTTTCCTTTGCAGTTTTTTTTAATGCCTTTATATTGTTTATACAATAATTCTTTTGAAGAAGTCAGGATGTGGGTGAAGGGTTGGAGTAAGGTGGAAAATGTACCAGCATGCCTCGTCTCCTCCTTCTTGGAAGTCTGTGCCTCCAGCCTCCTGCTTGGGGTTGTCACTGCCCCACAGCCTGGGAGACTGGAAGGGAGCCGGTGAGGTCAACTCCATTTCTGTGGCCACTGGCAGGCCCTGGTGCCTGAGGCACTGCAGAAACAGACATGCTGGCTGCTCCCTTTTTCTCAGCCCACCTGCCTGCTGAGTTCTTTACATATTTTATCTCGATTTAATCCTTACAGAACTCAATGAGGTAGGTGCCCAATGAGAGTCGGGCAAGTTACCCAACTCTCAAAGCTGGAGAGCTGGGTGAGTTGCCTGAGGTCACACAGTGGGTAGAGAACACAGCCAAGTTCAAGGCTCTGCCCTTCACCTCTGTTTCCCACTGCTGTGCTGAGCTCACCAGGGAGCTATGCCGCCCAGCTGGCTGTGCAGTGGGGCAAGCTCTTCAACCTCTCCAGTCTCCTATGCACTCTTCGGTGATAAGTCGAGGGGTTCTGGGGAGGAATCTGCCTCCCTGGACCTGGACTCAGAGCTCCTCATGGGTCTGAACAGTGCAGAGGATGGTTGGACCATCCCCTCCACGGTCTCACTGTCCATCCATGCATTCAATTCACATCTGCAAGCTCTGTCTATGTACCAGGCACTATGCGACCTCTGAGATATGTGTACTAAGACACAGACCCCATCAGACAAAGGGAGGGACACACATCAACAGAGAAGTATCATGAAATATCCTTTCTTTTTATTTGAGACAGTCTCACTGTTACCCAGGTTGGAGTGCAGTGGTGTGATCACAGCTCACTGCAGCCTCAACCTCCTGGGCTCAGGGGGTCCTCCCACCTCAGCCTCAGGAGTAGCTGGGAGTACAGGTGCACACTACCACGCCCGGCTAATTTTTTTTTTTTTTTAGATGGGGTCTCACTCTTTGCCCAGGCTGGAGTGCAGTGGCACGATCTCGGCTCACTGCAACCTCCGACTCCTGGATTCAAGCGATTTTCCCGCCTCAGCCTCCCGAGTAGCTGGGATTACAGGCACCCACCACCACACCCGACTAATGTTTGTATTTTTAGTAGAGACGGGGTTTCACCATGTTGGCCAGGCTGGTCTCAAACTCCTGAGTTCAGGTGATTCACCCACCTTGGCCTCACAAAGTGCTGGGATTACAGGCATGAGCCACTGTGCCCGGCCTAATTTTTGTATCTTTTGTACAGACAAGGTTTCTCCATGTTGCCCAGGCTCGTCTGGAACTCCTGGGCTCAAGTGATCCTCCCACCTCAGCCTCCCAAAGTGCTGGGATTACAGGTGTGGGCCACCGTGCTCAGCAAATGAAATTCTTGATTCCAATGTCACCTGCTCAGAGAGGATGAGCTGGGCCATGTATTTAGAGTATCTCTGCACAGCCACTCACTGTCCTATCTCCCCGGTGCTTCGCATACATTTTTCACCGTTTGAAATTCTCTTCGTTACGAGTAAGTTCCATAAGGATGGGGACCTTGTCTTGCTCGCCTCTATTTCCCAGGGCTTAGTGCTGAGTAAGCCCTTCCTGAGTGTTTCCTGCTTCCTGAGTTATTGGGATGAAGCTGAGCAGAGTAGGGACGCACAGGACTGTTTCAGAAGGAGAAGAGGGCAGAGAAGTCTCTCCTGGGACAGTCTGGGAAAGGGCAGAAAATATACTTCTATTGACAAGAGGCCATGAAAACACTCAAGACCCTTCAAACCCAGAAGAGCAGTGACCAGGGCACTGGGACACAGTCAGAGGATCTGGAGTGAGAGATCTTGGCCGTAGCCCTGACCCCACAGGGAACCCGGAACGAGAGGATCCATGCTGGAGGGGCCTCCGAGCTCATTCCAGCCGACTTTTCACAGCTTCAGCGTCTGGACTTTGCCGGGAACAGACAGTCAGTGGCTCATGGTTTAGGCTTCCCCAGTTATAGACATACTTGGCTGGGGGCGGTGGCTCACGCCTCTAATCCCAACACTTCGGGAGGCCAAGGCAGGAGGATCGCTTGAGCCCAGAAGTTTGAGACCAGCTTGGGCAACATAGTGAGACCCTGACTCTATAAAAACATTAAAAAATGGCCGGGCACAGTGGCTCATGCCTGTAATCCCAGCACTTTGGGAGGCCGAGGCAGGTGGATCTCCTGAGGTCAGGAGTTTGAGACCAGCCTGACCAATATGGTAAAACCCTGCCTCTACTAAAAATATAAAAATTAGCTGGGCGTGGGGGCGCACGCCTGTAATCCCAACTACTCCGGAGGCTGAGGCAGGAGAATCCATGAACCCAGGAGGTGGAGGTTGCAGTGAGCTGAGGTCGGCGCCATTGCACTCCAGCCTGGGCGACAAGAGCAAAAGTCTGTCTCAATAAATAAATAAATAAATAATAAAAATAAATAAATAAATAGATAAAAATGGGCCAGGCACTGTGGCTCATGCCCGTAATCCCAGCACTCTGAGAGGCTGAGGTGGGTGGATCCCTTGAGCCCAGGAGTTCGAGACCAACCTTGGCAACACAGTGAGACCTTGTCTCTAAAAAAATAAAATACAGTAAAATAATTTTAAAGAGAGATGAACCACTCTCCCCCAGGCCTCTAAGCATGTGCCAGTCCTCCCAGGCACTGCAGTGTGTGTCCCTCTCAAGGACGGAGAGGTGGCAGAGCCTCCTCACTGAAGACTCATTTAAAAAAAAATTAGAGAGACATGGTCTGGGCCGGGCACGGGGGCTCACGCCTGTAATCCCAGCACTTTGGGAGGCCGAGGCAGGCAGATCACTTGAGGTCAAAAGTTCAAGACCATCCTGGCCGACATGGTGAAACCCCATCTCTACTAAAAATACAAAAATCAGCCAGATGTGGTGATGTGCACCTGTAATCCCAGCTACTCGGGAGGCTGAAGCAGGAGAATCACTTGATCCTGGTAGATGGAGGTTGCAGTGGGCCGAGATTGTGCCGCTGCCCTCAAGCCTGGGTAATAAAGAGAGACTCCATAAAAAAAAAAAAGAGAGAGAGAGAGAGTCTACTGTGTTATCCCAGCTGGTCTCCAACTCCTGACCTCAAGCGATCCTCTCATCTCAGCCTCCCAAAGGGCTGGGATCACAGGTGTGAGCCACTGTGCCCGGCCGGTGACCCCTTTTTTGTCAGTCCCCATTCATTCAGGGAGTTCTTCTTTACACCAAGTTACGTTTTCTGCCACTATAATTATAAATATAATAATTTCATTGTTTTCCTCTCATTACAGAGCACTTGAGATATAGGAAAAATATATACTTGGAATACATATGAATTATAAGGAAGGAAAAAATATTACCAATAAACCCCCACCCTGGAAATATAACTTGCTCATGTTTTAGTATATTTTCTTCTGTGCTTTTCTCTCTGCACTTCAAGCCATAGATGTAGGTGTCATTGGCATTGCCTGTTTCCTCCCTGTGAGGTTCTGATCTCTTCATTTACCATCAAGAATGCAGCTTCCCAGGAGGTTCATCTGTTGGGTCCAGCTCTCTGCTCTCCAGGCAGGGCTTTGGCCCCACCAGACACCACTGACTGGAGCAGCTGCCCAGTAGAGACACAGGTATCTTCTCCCCAGTGTCCTCTGTCCTGAAACCCTCAAGGAAGAAGAGCTTCTTATCCGCGGAGCACAAAAAGAGTTTCCCATGGGGAAGGGCGCTTGGAGGGGCAAGACAGAAAGCTGGGGTTGGAACTCGGAGCTGGGCATGGTGGCTCGCGCCTGGAATCCCAGCACTTTGAGAGGCCAAGGTGGGAGGATCTCTTGAGCCCAAGAGTTGGAGACCAGCCTAGGCAACATGGCAAGAGCCCGTCTCTACAAAAGAAAAAAAAAGAAACTCTGAAAGCCCCTGTAATCATGGTTTTTGTGGATCAACATAATCAAGACAGCACCTGGGACAAAGGGAATGGCAACGCCTCCACCACATCTTACACTGGACATAGCTGGCCCTGTGCCACTTCCATCCAGCAGGGCCTGTTAATGTCCAAAGTAATCGACACAAACCCCTCAGGGTCTCCCTCACTTAAAGCTCCACCGGGACAATCATGATTTTGCTTGGCTTCGTAGCTGGTAACTTATGGTGAAACCTACACGGTTTCACCTGGATTCCCCCTCACAAAGCTTGACTTGTTGCTGATTCTCTGATGTGGGAGCCGGTCGTTCCCATCTCCTGGCTTGGATGCCGGGGTGTTTCTGTGGCTCAGCTTGTGAGACCCTGGAGAGCATCAATCTCTGTCCTCATCCAGTTGGTTTACGATATCAAGCCAATCTGCACGGCCCAGCAACCGCTCCCTCATCTATGAGCTGACCCGAGGCCAGGGCCCACCTGCCTCAGCATCCACAATTCTCCCAAGGCTACATTCCAGAAAGCCTCCACCTGGCCCAGCCAGCCATCCGTCTTGCCTCCGGTTTATCAGCAGAATCCGCAGGACCAGGATGCTCCACCTGCCCCCTGCGTGAGCATTCCGTGGAAACTCAAGAACTTTTGACAAGTCGTTGCTTTATCCAAAGCCCCACCCGGGTTTCCTGTTCCACTCAAACCAAGTCCTTATAGTGGCTGTGCTCTCCAATCCACTGGGCTCCTGGCTGTTCCTCCAATATGTCAAGCATGCTTCTGCCTCAGGGACTTTGCATGGCTGCCCCCTCTACGTGGAATGCTCCCACCTCAAGTATCCATTTCGCTACATCTCTCCTTCAAGTTTTTGTTCAAACCTCATCTTCTCAGTGAAACACACCTTATCCCCCATATATGTATATATATTTTTTGAGACAGAGTCTCGCTTTTGTCACCCAGGCTGGAGTGCAATGGTGTGATATTGGCTCACTGTAACCTCCACCTCCCGGGTTCAAGCAATTCTCCTGCCTCAGCCTCCTGAGTAGCTGGGATTACAGGTGCCCACCACCACACCCAGCTAATTTTTTGTATTTTTAGTAGAGATGGGGTTTCACCATGTTGGCCAGGCTGGTCTCGAACTCCTGACCTCAGGCGATCCGCCTGCCTCGGCCTCCCAAAGTGCTGGGACTACAGGCTTGAGCCACCACGCCCGGCTGTCCCCCATGTTTAACAGTGCCGTCTGCATTCCCACCAGCACTCCTGATCCCCGTATCCTGTCACCCTCTCTTTTTTTTAATAGCTCTTATTCTAACATATGACATCATTAACTCATATACTGTGTTTATTTATAACTGTCAACCCTCTCCTTGCCACAACCAGAATGCAGGCTCCATGAGGCCTGTCTCTTCTGTTCACTGATAGATCTGGAGTGTCTAGAATGTGCCCCACACAAAGCAGGGGTACGATCATGAGTGAATGAATCGTGAATGAGTGAAAGGTATGTAGCATCCAATCTGCTTATAGGGGGAAGTTCCTGATGGGAAGGAATAAATATACTTTTACTGCGGACCAGAGGCAGACGTTGGAGGGGCCGTGTCTGCCGCAGTCAGGGATGCTGGTTTATTTCGGAATCTCCAGCTCATTCTTTCACCCTGCCCGATCTGGACGGGAAAGGAAGTGCACTCCGCGGTACCCAGGACATCTACCGGCGATGTGAGGCCTTCCTGGAGGCTTCTACAACAGAAACAGGCAGAGGCCCTCGACTTGCCTCAGCCCCATCTTGTATCAATTAGTTTTGACTTCCAGAGAACTTCTGGGACAGTCGCAGGGGGTGAGGAGCCAGTCCGGGTGACCGAGGGCCTGCAGAAATACTCTCTCGAGACGGTCTTCTTCCTGGGCTCAGCTGGGTTGACGTAAATGATGGCCCAAAGCAGCAGGGATGTGGTGGAAAGAGTTCAGCAGCCAGAGGATCTTCAGCTTCCACCTCTGCCACTTACGAGCTTAGCGACAGGTTTGGAAGCCACTCTGTGGTAGGCGGAATCATGGTCCCCAGGGATGTCCGTGCCCTAATTCCCAGAACTTGTGACTGTGTTATACCACACAGCAAAGTGGACTTTGCAAATGTGAGTGAGGTTTTATCCTTGGTTATCCCAGTGGACCCGGTCTAATCACGGGAGCCCTCAAAAGTGGAAAACTCGCTCTGGATAAAGGCAGAAGAGACGTAAGACACAAAGGATGCCAGACAGCTTGGAAGCATGAGCAGCAGCCACCATCGCTGGCTTTGGAGAGGAAGGAACAGAGCCACAAGCCAAGGGCTGCAGGTGGCCTCTAGAAGCTGAGAAAGGCCCCCAGGTGGCAGCCAGCAGGAAACAAGCCCTTCGTCCCACACCACACGCAACTGAATTCTGCCAGTAGCCCTCACAGGACTGGAAGCGGATTCATGCCCAGAACCTCCAGAAAGGCAGGCAGCCTGGCCTATACCTTGATTTTGGTCTTGTAAAGCAGTGAGCCGTGCTGTGCCTGGACCTCTCACCCACAGAACTGTGACCTAATACATTTGTGGGGTTTTTTGTTTTGTTTTGTTTGAGATGGAGTTTTGCTCTTGTCACCCAGGCTGGAGTGCAATGGCGTGATCTCAGCTCACTGCAACCTCTGCCTCCCGGGTTCAAGCGATTCTCCTGC
This sequence comes from Homo sapiens, assembly GCF_000001405.40. Taxonomy (NCBI): domain Eukaryota; kingdom Metazoa; phylum Chordata; class Mammalia; order Primates; family Hominidae; genus Homo; species Homo sapiens. The sequence goes on along the minus strand of NC_000003.12, from coordinate 196,129,906 downwards.
CTCAGCCTCCAGAGTAACTGCACTACAGGCGTGCACCACCACGCCTGGCTAATTTTTGTATTTTTAGTAGAGATGGGGTTTTTCCAGGTTGGCCAGGTTGGTCTTGAACTCCTGACCTCAAGTGATCCACCAGCCTCGGCCTCCCAAAGTGCTGGGATTACAGGCATGAGCCACTGTGCCCACCCCATTTGTGTGGTTTTAAGATGCTCGATTTGTGTTCAGTTGTTACAGCAACAACAGAAAATAGATCTCTCAGAGCCTTGGTTTTCTCAGATCTTTCTGAGCCTTGGTTTTCTGAGATCTCTCAGAGCCTTGGTTTTCTTTTTTTTCTTTTTTTCTTTTTTTTGAGATGGAGTCTTGCTCTGTCGCCCAGGCTGGAATGCAGTGGCGCGATCTCAGCTCACCGCCAGCTCCACCTCCCAGGTTCACGCCATTCTCCTGCCTCAACCTCCCAAGTAGCTGGGACTACAGGCGCCAACCACCATGCCCAGCTAATTTTTTGTATTTTTAGTAGAGACAGGGTTCCACCATGTTAGCCAGGATGGTCTCGATCTGACCTCCTGATCCACCCGCCTCGGCCTCCCAAAGTGCTGGGATTACAGGTGTGAGCCACCACGCCCAGCCAGGAGCCTTGGTTTTCTCAGATCTCTCGGAGCCTTGGTTTTCTCAGCTGTGACATGGAGATGATGATTATGGCATCCATCTTGCTGACTGGCAGCAACTAAATGAAATAAGCAGAAGGGGCTTTGTGAACTGTTCTCTACAATACAAGACTGTAAATATTCTATAACTGAGCAATCTGCTCCTTAGCAGGGCTCATCTCTCAGCCTGGAGAGAGGCAAAAAGAGAGGAAAGTTCAGCCAACCGCTCAGTTCAGACCAGGATTCCAGGTACATTCAAGAAGAGCGACGGAGCTGGTGTGGTCGTGGGCACCTGTTGCCCCAACTATTCGAGAGGCTGTGTGGGAGGATCTCTTGAGCGCAGGAGTTCAAGGCCAGCCTGGGCAATATAGTGAGATCCTCTCTCAAAAAAAAAAAAAAATGGTGTTGAAGGGCCCTGACTCCTGGAGGCTAGTCCAAAGCATGTCTCCGTCTTCTAGGACTGTGGCCACAAAGCCTCGGGGAAGGGAACGGCCAGGTCAGGGGTGAGGAGCTTGCTTCTGGCTGATCTTCAGGCTTAGTCTTGAAATCCCACATGTTGAGCTGCTGCCCGAGGTGAATTGAGGCGAGGCCAGGCGAGGCCTGGGAGGAGGACACGGAGCCTCATGATGGACGCTTCCCACAGCCCTTCCCTTGTCTTCTTGCTTCGGTTCAGTTCAGCAAGCCTGGCCCTGCTACGCGTGACAGTGATACAGAAGCCAAGAGGGCCACAGAGGACGGGGACAACAGGCAATGGCAGGCGTGAGCCACCGCGCTAATGACAGGCAGTCAATCACCTGTATTCCTTGGCTTGTCGCTCCCTTCTTCATCTTCAAAGCCAGCGATGCGGTGGATGTGGTGCTCATGCCGGCAATCCCAGCACTTTGGGAAGCTGAGGTTGGGGAATCGCTTGAGCCCAGGAGTTTGAGACCAGCCTGGGCAAGAGAGCAAGACCCCATCTCCACTTAAAATAAAAAATTAACCAGGCATCTTGGCACATGCCTGTAGTCCCAGCTACTCAGGAGGTTGTGGCTGGAGGATCACTTGAGTCTGGGAGATGGAGGCTGCAGTGAGCCGTGGTCATACCACTGCACTACAGCCTGGGCAGCACAGCAAATGTGAGCCCCTCTTCTCCTCGACCAGGGCACTGGGGGGGGCCTCCCCTGCTGCTTTCTCATCACTTAGGAGCCCCCTCAGATCCCCCAGGCACCTGAGGGTTGTCTGTGCCCCAAGCACCCCACTTTTGCAAACTTTTCCTCCCTCTGCCTGCCCTGTCCTGGCTGCTCTGTGCTGGTTGAGGCTGGGTGGGGAAGAGGCTGGCCACTGAATCCACTTGGAGCACAGAGGGGACAGTCCCCCAAGCCAAAAGCACAGAGCAGGGGTGTCAGGGGCTCTCTGTTGCTGAGCCTCCTGCCCGGGACAGAACAGCTTCAAGAGTGGGAACTGCATCCTTTTATGGCAGGGGGCCAGTAAGCCCTCTTATCAGCTCCTTCCCAGCTCCTGTGAGACGGCCACGGCCTCAGGTGGTTGAGAAGGAAAGCGGTCAGGGTGCTATTTCCTGTCCCCCCTGCCCTGCACGGTCAGCCCCACCCTCACTCTGGGAAGCACCTCACAGATCCTCTCCCTCAAAACACACACATCAGCCAAGTTCAAAGGGCCTTTTGAGGCAATCTAACCCAAATTCCTTGTTATTCGCTTGCGGAAAATAAGGCCCAGGCAGAGGGATCCTTTCATCACACAGACAGTTGCTCTGATGGCAGTGATGAGGCTTCAGACCTTTTCCTCTCTGAAACTCACCTACTACACAACCAGCAAGCTGCACCAAAAAGGAAGGTCGAGTCTCAAACCAGCTCCTACCACGCCCGTCCTCTGTATCAGCCTGCAGCTTTTAGATTCTAGACAGGGGCCGGGCCATCCTGTTTACTCTTAGCCAGAGGGACTTATCGCAGAGGTAACCACATTCTCCCATGATTAAATAAAAACAGCCACACTTCCAGATATTCACTCATTTATTTATTATTTATACCACACCTACTTCCAAAAAAGCATTTGAGGCAGCTCACAACAAAAGCTACACATACAACAGGACTGTCAACAGCGAGTACGTGTCCAGACCGCCAGGACCTTCCAGCAAAAGCTACACATACAACAGGACTATCAACAGCGAGTACATGTCCAGACCGCCAGGACCTTTCACAACTGCAGACTATGGGAGGAATTTTGTTTTTTAAGGACAAAAGATGTCTTTGACTTCAGGCACTTGAGAGAGTCAGGTCTTGAGTGTGGACATTTAAAGGTGCCTGGTCAGGTCAAGAAGTGAAAATTGGAGCATCTAGTCTAGGCGCGGTGACTCATGCCTGTAATCCCAGCACTTTGGGAGGCTGAGGTGGGCGGATCACAAGGTCGGGAGTTCAAGACCAGCCTGGCCAACATAGTGAAACCCCGACTCTAGTAAAAATACAAAAATTAGCCCAGCATGGTGGCGTGCGCCTGTAGTTCCAGCTACTCAGGAGGCTGAGGCAGGAGAATCGCGTGAACCCAGGAGGCGGAGGTTGTGGTGAGCCAAGATCGTGCCACTGCACTCCAGCCTGGGCGACAGAGTGAGACTCCATCTGAAAAAAAAGGAAGAAAGAAAGAAAGAAAATTGGGGCCTCTAATAAAGTGCAGGGGCAGGCTGGGTGCGGTGGCTCACGCCATAATCCCAGCACTTTGAGAGGCCCGGGTGGGAGAATCACTTGAGCACAAGAGTTTGAGATGAGCCTGGGCAAGAAAGTGAGACCCCATCTCTACAAAAAAATAAAAAGAATTTAAAAATAAATAATTAGCTGGATGTGGTTTGCTCACACCTGTGGTCCCAGCTACTCCAGAGGCTGAGGTAGGAGGAACGCTTGAGCCCAGGAGGTTGAGGCTGCAGTGAGCTGTGATCACTCCCTTGCACTCCAGCCTGGGTGAAAGAGTGCGACCCCATCTCAAAATTAAAATAAAATAAAATAAAATAAAATAAATACAATAAAATAAATAGGCCAGGTGCAGTGGCTCACACCGGTAATCCCAGCACTTTGGGAGGCCGAGGCAGGTGGATCACCTGAGGTCGGGAGTTTGAGACCAGCCTGACCAACATGAAGAAACCCCATCTCTACTAAAAATACAAAAATTAGCCGGGTGTGGTGGCAGGTGTCTGTAATCCCAGCTACTCGGGAGGCTGATGTAGGAGAATCACTTGAACCGGGAGGCGGAGGTTGTGTTGAGCCAAGATTGCGCCATTGCATTCCAGCCTGGGCAACAAGAGTGAAATTCCATCTCAAAAACAAACAAATAAATAAATATATTGATTAAAACAATGAAGTACAGGGATAGATACCAAGGGTAGGAAAAGAGGCCAAGAGCAGGTATAGGAGTCCACACTCAGAAAGTCATTTCTCACCTACTTAAGCAGCTTTGTGGAGAACCTATTATGCTAAGCTCCCTATAGAGCTCCCTATAGAGATCAATAAGGCATAATCCCTACTCCCTATATATGCTAAGCTCCCTATAGAGCTCCCTATAGAGATCAATAAGACATAATCCCTACTCCCTATAGGGACCACTGCACTCCAGCCTGGGTGACAAGAGTAAGACTCCACGAAAAAAAGCGCTTGGCTGGGTGCGGTGGCTCACGCCTGTAATCCCAGCACTTTGGGAGGCCAAGGCGGGTGGATCATGAGGTCAGGAGTTCGAGACCATCCTGGCCAACATGGTGAAACCCCGTCTCTACTAAAACACAAAAAATTAGCCGGGCGTGGTGGTGCATGCCTGTAGTCCCAGCTACTCGGGAGGCTGAGGCAGTGGAATCGCTTGAACCCAGGAGGCAGAGGTTGCAGTGAGCCAAGATCACGCCACTGCACTCCAGCCTGGGTGACAGAGCAGGAGTCCGTCTCAAAAAAACAAAACAAAACAAAACAAAAAAAGCACTAGCGCTTACGATTTGACTCGGGTAACCATAGCACTTCTCAGACTATGGGTGCGTACGAATCACCTGGAGGATCTTGTTCAAATGCAGATTCGGATTCATTGGGTGCAAGGTGGGGCCTGAGAGTCTGCATTTCTAGCAAATTCTCAGCTGATGCCAATGTTGTTGGTCCATGGACCTCAACGGAGCCGAATGATCTACCCAAAGTTCATTTCTCTTATTTCTTGACCACAGAAGCCTGAATGTACCTAGTCACAGGGGATGACCCATGACTGGTCGAAATTAATCATGCAATCCTATTCCCCTTGTCAATGATTAGTCTTGGTTGGTGGGCCCATGACTTGGCACTGGCCAATTAATTATACATAAGGAAATCTCTACTGGGTGCTCCACAGTAAGGATTTTCCGTCTACAAAAAGATACACTCATGAATAAAAGGTGCTTTCCCCCACTGCCTTTCTTCCTTCTTGGACGCTGAGGTGTGAGGATGTGATGCTTGAGGCTGCAGCCACCATCTGGTTGCCATGAGGCAAGACACACCCAGCACACTAAGGATAATAGAAGGGAAAGGTCCTAGGTCCTTGAAGAACTAACCCTAATGGGGCCACTGCCAGATGGCCGAGAGAGGATTATTATTCTTTTTTAAGATGGAGTCTCACTCTGTTGCCAGGCTGGAGTGCAGTGGCACGATCTCAGCTCACCGCAAGCTCCACCTCCCGGGTTCAAGCGATTCTCCTGCCTCAGCCTCCCGAGTAGCTGGGACTACAGGCATGCACCACCACACCTGGCTAATTTTTGTATTTTTAGTAGAGACGGGGTTTCACCATGTTGGCCGGGCTAGTCTCGAACTCCTGACCTCACGTGATCTGCCTGCCTCGGCCTCCCAAAGTGCTGGGATTACAGGCGTGAGCCACTGCACCCAGCCCTGAGAGATAATTAAATGTCTCTATTGCTTAAGCCACTGTTAGTGAGGTGGTCTGTTACTTGCAGCTGAACACATCCAAACGAATAAAATGGTGGATCTGAAATCACGGTGATCAGCATGAGATCCAGTGGAAGCACAAATGATGGATAACTTGCTTTACCAGGACAGACCATAAAAGGCTCCTTGGAAAACCCTTCTCCAAGTGTAACCGCCCAAGGGGTTCACCTTGCCCACTGTCTAGACAGAGCTGATTTATCAAGACAGAGCAGTTACAATAGAGAAAGAGAAATTCACTCAGAGCCGGCTGTGCAGGAGACCGGAGTTTTATTATTACTCAAATAAGTCTCCTGGAAAACTTGGGATCAGAGTTTTTAAGGATAATTTGGTGGGTAGGGGGCCCGTGAATCGGAATGCTGACTGGTTGGCTAGGGGGTGAAATCACAGGGAGTCACCGTCCAGGCGTGGTGGCTCACACCTGTAATCCTAGCACTTTGGGAGGCCGAGGCGGGCAGATCACCTGAGGTCAGGAGTTCAAGACCAGCCTGGCCAACATGGTGAAACCCCATCTCTACTAAAAATACAAAAATTAGCTGGGCATGGTGGTGTGTGCCTGTAGTCCCAGCTACTCAGGAGGATGAGGCAGGAGAATCGCTTGAACCCGGGAGGCAGAGGTTGCAGTGAGCCGAGATTGTGCCACTGCACTCCAGCCTGGGCGACAGAGGGAGACTCCATGTCAAAAAAAAAAAAAAAAAAAAATCACAGGGAATGGAAACTGTTCTCTTCTGCTGAGTCAGCTCCTGGAGTGAAGTTACCTTCAAGACTCACTGTGGAAGCTGCAAATCCTATGGCCTCTGGAATAATGGCTGGGAATATTTAGAATTCCAGCCGCTCTCATCTGGACTTGCTGGCTGGTGGCCTTTCATTTGTTTTAAAAGAACAGTTTAGCCTTCTAGGAAGGGCTCTTCCATAAACCATACACTAAATCCCTTCCCAAAGAGAGTTCAGCTTACACCCAGGAATGACGAAGGACAGTTTCGAGGTTAGAAGAAAGATGAGGTCAGATAGGTCTGGTCTCGTTCACTGTCGTAATTTTCTGTTACGGTTTTTGCAAAGGCAGTTTCACAAGGAGGGTCTTGAGGGATGAGTCAGCGTTTACTGGTCAAGCAAGGGAGGACGGGCACCCCAGGCAGTGGGCCGGCTCGCAGGGAAGCCCAGGGGGAAGAAGGAAAATGCGGTTAGAGAGGCCGCTCAGGCTGGGGGGCGAGGAGGCCTCTGGGGATGTCCGCAGAACACGTGGGGCTTGGGAGCCTGGTAAGAAGTGTGGACTCGGAGGGGTGGTGGGCAGCAGGGAGATGGTGAGGGAGTCTAGCAAGGGGCTAGAAGTAGGAACTGGAAGAAGTCAAGCAGGTTATAAAATATCAAGGTGCTTGGGCCACATGAGGAAAGATGAGTGCTGGGAACAAGTTGAAGGGACCCAGAACCACCGAGAGGAAGCCCAGATCTCTGTCAACACTCGTTCATCCACGAAGTTCTCACCTGCATTTGGGCCTTCACTGGGCGCTCCTTGCTTTGCTAGAACCAGTCACCCTTCGGCATGAAAATCATGCAGAAAATTGGCAGCTGTTGGGGAAACCCTGACAAAGATCAAGACCCCCTCAACAAGAACGCACCACGTCCAGCACTTCGGAGCATCTAGCCAGACCTTTCATGGTACAGATGGGGAAACTGAGGCCCCGAGAAGGGCTATAAGCCGATCAGGCCACACAGCAAACTGGAGACAGAGCAGCACTGGAACCTTCTTATTCTGATCCTTGAACCAGCGATCAGCCCCACCACCACGAGTTCCTCCCGTGACCACACACGGCCATGGATCAAACAACAAACGAGAGGTTAACACGGCCCCGTTTCCCCACAAACTCAGACAAGACAGATCAACAACGTTTGAAGCACATGAATACAACCTGTGCCCCAGAGTGAGGAAGTTCAAGATAAAATTCCTGAAGCCCATACTGATTATTTTAAACACTGTTTCAGAATTCCTAAGAAACTAAGCTTCTATTAAAATACAAACAAGTTTTGAAGTCGTTTGACGATAAAAGATATTTTCTGGGCCAAGCCTGGTGAGGGGGAAGGCTTACAGTATTTTGAAACAAACTTTGGAGAGCTCATCATAGTTTGAAAAGATTCTGATAATAGATCACAGACATGTTTGTCTCAGCCCGGCCGAGACAACACACTCCATCCTGAGTCTTGCGCAACTGCTCACATTCTACAGCCCCAGTGTACAGAAGTACCGGGATCTGTCAAGACCCACAACTCCAGAGCCAGGTGGCCTGGGTTCAAATCCCAGCTTGCTACTCACCAGCCTAGGTGAGTCTCCTGACCTCTCTGTGCTTGGTTTTCTCATCTGTAAATAGGATAATATTAGTCACCTGTTCTTGGGGCGGATTTGAAGATTAAATGAGTTCATGTAAAGGGTGTAGAGCGGTGGTTGTGCTTTCTTGGTGTTCGCTATCATTATTTGTTCCATGAATCTTGATGGGGAGAAATATTCCAGCTGCATCCGGCCTGACTGGTCCTCCTTAGTTACTGACCACTTACCTATGAGTAGATGACTTGCCGCTAAGTATGGTGGCCCTAACTGTTGACTGGGACACGGAGGCTGCACCTGAGGCCCCACCCCAAAACCACTGAGGCAGAGTCCGTATTTTAACACGATTCCAAGGGGACTCAGGCACATACTGAAGCTGGAGGAGCACTGGACGAGGCTGCTGAAATGGGCACTGAAGGCCTCTCCAAGTGGAGGGGCCTTGGCCTCTTTGCAGCCA